>NC_000013.11:76438409-76589924 GCF_000001405.40 Homo sapiens
AGTGACAGGCTATACAGGTTTGCAGCCTAGGAGCAAGAGGCTGACCACATAGCCTGGGTGTGTAGTAGGCTGTAGTATCTAATTTTCTTTGAGTACAATCTATGATGTTCACACTACAACAAAATCGCCTGATGTCATTTATCAGAACGTTTTGCTATCATTAAATGACTCATGACTGTTCTAAGTTTAAATTTTACTTTTACTAAAGGCAAGGTGGAAGACTATTTAAAGCAATTCCATAGTGAGAGTTCTCTCACCAGCATTTTCAAAAATCTACACACATGGACACTGTCTTAAGCAACTATTATAGGCATGAAGCAAACAGCAGAGGCACATTAGTTCAGGCAAAGTCCCGACTGGAAACATCTCGGGACAAGTTTTCCAGTCTGAATGGAGGCTCGGGGACCTAAAAAAGCATGGCTTGGGAATGAGCTACAATAAAAAAAGAAACATGATTATGGAGATAGGGAACTCCTACGATATACTGTCTGCAAGCTGGAAAACCAGGAAAGGTGATGGTGTAATTCAGTCTGAGTCTAAAGCCTGAGAAGCCAAAGGCATAACTCCCAGTCTGCATGGGAAAGGCCTTAGAACCAGAAGCACTGACGTTCAAGGTCAGATCCATGTCCCAGCTCAAAGAAAGAATTTGCCCTTCTTTGACTTTTATGTTCCATTTAAGCCCAGAAGAGATTGAATATTGTTCACCCTCATTGGTGAGAGCAGATCTTCTTTACTCAATCTACTGATTCAAATGCTAATCACTTCCAGAAACACCCTCACAAACACACCCAGAAATAATATTTTTCCAGCTATCTGGGCATCCTTTAGCCCAGTCAGGTTGGCACATAAAATTAACCATCACACATATTCTCTCAGAATCCTGTACACTGAACATAGGCAGGACCATTATTCCTGCCTGCCTTAGTGACTCCTTCTCTTCCTTCCAGATACCATTTAAGCCTTCCTCCTCCAACAAGTTTACCCTCCTATCTTAGGTGGATTTTGTGACTAGGGGCTAAGATGCCTACCTCCATATTAGCATTTTATATGCTATGCTTTAATTGTTGATTTACGTCTCTATCTTCTCCATCAGAGGTTGTGCCTACAATTTTTCTGTGCCTAACATATAATAGACAATAGATATTTGTCAGATTTAGATTGAATAAATAAATGAAAGGATACTTTGGCTAAATCTTGAAGACTGAATAAGATGAGAAACATAAAGGAATGACAAGCAAAGGCAGCAGCATGTCTGAAAGTCTGAACGCGTAAGACTGCATGAGATATACAGAAGAGAAAAGACTTCCATATGGAAACTCTTAATGCTCACTTCATCACACATCTACTAAATTCAGAACCATATGGTTATGGGATTTGCTAGGAAGTGGCAGACAAAAAAGTGGGAAAGCTGAGGATTATAACAGACACTGTTGGTTGCTTGTCTAGTAGCCATTCCTCCCTTCCTCCTTCTAACAAAACTTGCATTAAGTAATGTGCTTCAGGGACTGCTTATCCTCAGGTTCAGGAGGGAAGAAGTGGGCATCCTCTCATTCTAAGGCAATCAAGGTGGGTACATTCGCGTCGTCAATATTGGTGTAGACCAATGATTATCTGATGCAACGTACCCTTACAAGTAGGTGAAAGTCCACCCATGCAATTACAAATGGCAGGTACTTCATTCATTTGTATTGATTATTCACTTCATACTAATTGGAATAATCTCAGGCTATTACTACTACTACTTAACAATTGTCGTCTATTAAGCATGCTCTCTTCCAAGCACTATAGCAGGTGTTTTACACATCTCCTGTAAAAGGAGGCTTATGTGCAAGGTCTTTGTTGTGGTGAGGAGATCAGGACTGACAATTTCTGGACAACCTATCAATGTTCTTTAGCTAATCCATTTTGTTCAATAAAGTCCAGTGCACCTTGACCTCAGTGACTAGAACAGGAGAAGACGTCTTTTTATACATGCAGTGGATTAGAAATCAAAGCGAGAGAGAGAGAGAGAGAAATTAGAAATTTTATTAAACAGCTTCCTTCTCCATCTCAACCCGGTTTGCAAAGGGGAACATTCTGTATGACTTGGTATTCTTATCTAAATAAATGTGATACTGATTTTAACGAACCCACCATGGCAAAGACTTGGCTGCTCCAAGACCTCTATTTCAGTTACATGTTATTGCTTACTGGTAAGCCATCAGGTAGAGGTGAGTCTAAGATGAGGATTACAGATTATACATTCTCAAGATGAGGATTATAGCAGATTCTCTTTCTGATGAGAATCAGCTCTCTTAGATTGTTCTCCCTCCCGTTCCTGCCCACAGCAATGTCAGCCTGTCACAGAAATGTCACCCTGAAAGCAGAAAGCAGAAAAGGGGAAGTGAGCTCATGTGAAGAGACCAAATGAGAGAGGAGGCCTTTTTTTAAATAAAGACCTGTCTCCTGATTAATCCAGTTCCATTGAGAGCGAGACTGCATTAATTCCCTCTTGCAGGGTGGATGCTTCAGGACCAAAATACGTCTTTAAAGGTCCCAACACTTCTCAACACTTTTACATTGGCAATTAAATCTCAGCATGAGTTTTGTCCGGGATAAGCCACACTCAAACCATAGCAATCATGCAAACCTGAATCATGATTCAGGTTGTCCTGACTCCTGATCCCAAATTGCCCTCACAAAACCAAAATTTCTCAGCACAACAAAGGCCATTTTTATAAAAAGGAGCCCGTCTCAAAAGACAGCAATATCAAAGTTTCCTTCGTGGATAAATGTATAGTTATGAGTGTGTGCACTAATAGAAAGTAGTATATGACAGATTTCTGTGTATTTTAATTTGAATAATATTGAAAATACCAAAAAAATTGAAAATTACCCATAAAGTCAATATCACACATGTGTGCTTCAACACACATATACCACATACATAAAATAGGAAGCACGTGTCTACATTGGCTCCCACTATGTTTTAAATATGACCACTTTAGAAGTTTGGTGTGTTGCCAAGTTTTTCTACGCTAATGAAGGCATTTGCCTACATGCCTACAGATGCATGTGCAGATTTTACACAAATATAACCATGTGAAACACTTTTGTCTACAAGGATTTTTTTTCCCACATTATCAATGTGTCACCAACATGTTTCTGGTCAGCTTGTGCACCTAATTTTCTTGTGGATGTGGCGTATTCTCTTTTATGAATGCGGCGTGATTTATTTAAGCCATGCTTGCTATGCCATCCTGCTCCTTACAATACTTTTCAGTCTTCGGTAGCATCTAATTGGTAATCATCACAGCTTTTTCAAAATGTTTTGGCTATGATGTCCTTATTTTTCCACATAAAGTATAGGATAAGTTTTGAAAGGTTAAAGAAAAACAAATGTCGCTTTTAAATTCATACTATAAAAAAATGTAGATATTAACATGAGATGAATTAGCCCTTTAAAAATATTGTTTTTCCATTCAGGAACACGGCAAGCTTTTGAATTCATTAATGCTCAGATTATTTGTTTGATTGGCTTTATGTTCCCAAATAATGTTTTCTAGTTTTTATCTTAAATATCAGATATGTGTAACGATAAATGGGTGCTAACATGTATCCATGGAAATTTTACAATTCAGCCCATCACATAATTTATAGATGAAAGATCAAAACAGCAGCCTTTGTGCTCCTACTCTCAAATAATTTCAGTTATTAATATTTTAATGGCTGCAAAGTGGCACCTGTTATTCTCATTGCTAATATTTCATTCAATAATGGAATCAATCTTAAGATTTAAGGATGTACCTTTTACCCTGGGAAGCTCAATAAAGCTACTAAAATTTTGAATAAAATGTGTGACCTGCAATATATATAGTATTTTTTTCCCTAAATGGTTTCCCTGCAACAAAGTTTGGTTGTCAGAGTTAGAAGTCCTAAACATTTCTTTTAAAGTTAGTCCTTTTAGTGAAGTATTGATAAGGGGTCAATCAAAGCACTGATTGAAATTGTTCCTTTTCTAAATAAAAAAAATTCTCTGTGTTCTCCATTGTTTACTGATTCAGAAGAAAAAGCTGGCCATTCATACTACTTTGTGGCAGTATGTTTTTTCTCATTGGGTCTTTTTCTAGTCTCTGGATTGCTACTATGAAACCTTTCTCTGAAACAATCTTGCCTGAAGCTAAAAGAACTATAAATCCTAGATTAAGTTTTCTCTCCTTGTACACCTCTACTCCCAGAAAATCCAGATAACCTAGATAATTATACCAGATAATTACCTCAAATAATCAAACAATCTAGAAATCTATTCCAGATGAAGTTATCACAATATTTTGTCTTCATGTGGAATGTATTTTTCCAACACGCCTACTAAAATATTGTTATTCAACCAACTTTATACTTAATGGAGAAAAGTTGAAAGCACTCCCTCTAAGAACTGGAACAATAAAAGGATGTTCACTTTCACCCCTTTTATTCAACATTGTACTGGAAGTTCTTGCCAGAGCAATTAGACAAGAGAGAAAAAAAGGCACCCAAATTGGGAAAGAAAAAGTTGAATTATCCCTGTTTGCTGATGACAGGATCCTATATCTACAAAAACCTAAAGACTCCACCAAAAAAACTCTTAGATTTTATTAATGGATTCAATAAAGTTTCAGGATCCAAAATTATTATATGGAAACCAGTAGTATTTCCATACACCAGTAATGATCTAGCTAAGTATCAAATCGAGAAGGCAATCCTGTTTATAATAGCTATCAAAAAATAAAAATCTAGGAATATATTTAACCAGAGAGGTAAAAGATCTCCATAAGGAGAACTATAAAATACTGATGAAAGAAATCAGAGATGACACAAACACCCCTTGCTCATGAGCTGGAAGAGTCAACATTGTTGACATGACCATACTGTCCAAAAGCAATTTACAGATTTAATGCAACCCTTATCAAATTACCAATGTCATTTTTCTACAGAATTGGGAAAAAATCCTAAAATTCATGTGGTACCAAAAAAGAGCCTGAAGAGCCAAAGCAACCCTAAGCAAAGGAAAAAAAAAAAAAAAAACAAGCTACAGGCATCACATTACCTGACTTCAAATTACTTCAAATTATACCACAGAGCTATAATGACCAAAACAGCATGGTACTGCTATAAAAATAGGCACAGAACCCAGATATAAAGCCACACACATACAACAAACTGATTTTGACAATATTAACAACAATATACAGTGGGAAAATGACACTCTATTCAATAAATGGTGCTGGGAAAATTGGATAGCCATATGCGGAGTAATAAGCCTGGACCCATACCTCTCACCATATACAAAAATGAACTCTGGAATAGGAACACTTTTACACTGTTGGTGGGACTGTGAACTAGTTCAACCATTGTGGAAGTCAGTGTGGCGATTCCTCAGGGATCTAGAACTGGAAATACCATTTGACCCAGCCATCCCATTACTGGGTATATACCCAAAGGACTATAAATCATGCTGCTATAAAGACACATGCACACGTATGTTTATTGCGGCATTATTCCCAATAGCAAAGACTTGGAACCAACCCAAATGTCTAACAATGATAGACTGGATTAAGAAAATGTGGCACATATACACCATGGAATACTATGCAGCCATAAAAAATGATGAGTTCATGTCCTTTGTAGGGACATGGATGAAATTGGAAATCATCATTCTCAGTAAACTATCGCAAGAACAAAAAACCAAACACCGCATATTCTCACTCATAGGTGGGAACTGTACAATGAGATCACATGGACACAGGAAGGGGAATATCACACTCTGGGGACTGTTTTGGGGTTGGGGGAGGGGGGAGGGATAGCATTGGGAGATATACCTAATGCTAGATGACGAGTTAGTGGGTGCAGCGCACCAGCATGGCACATGTATACATATGTAACTAACCTGCACAATGTGCACATGTACCCTAAAACTTAAAGTGTAATAATAAAAAATAAAATAAAAAAAAAGAAAGTGACAGCAAGAAAAAAAAATGAACTCAAGATGAATTAAAGATCTAAATGTAAGATGTGAAACTATAAAAGTTCTAGAAGAAAACCTAGGAAAAACTCCTCTGAACATTTGCTTAGGAAAAGAATTTATGACCAAGTCCTCAAAAGTAAGCGCTACAAAAACAAAAATAGACAAATATGACTTAAACTAAAAAGTTTCTGCACAGCAAAAGAAACAATCAACAGGGTAAACAGACAACCTACAGAATGGGAAAAATATTTGCAAACTATGCATCTAACAAAGAGCTGCTATCCAAAATCTGTAAGTACCTCAAATATCTAAACAAGAAAAAAGCAAATAACCCCATTAAAAAGCAGGCAAGGCTATTATTAAAAAGTCAAAAACTAACAGATGCTGGTGAGGTTGTGGAGAAAAAGGAGCTTATACACTGTTGGTTGGATACAATGTTTACTATTCAGATGATGGGTACACTACAAGCTCACCCTTCACCACTATGCAATACATTCATAGTGCAGGTAAGAAACCTGCACTTGTACTCTCAACACTTTGGAAACAAATTTTATGTTATGGAACAGCTAGAACCATGCCACTGCTCATGCTTCTTGACAACCTTAAATACAAGAAACAAAGTTATGGAAAATATTTGCCTTATATGAAATTTTTAGTGTGTACACCATATGCGGACACCAAGAATTCGATCAAGTAATCTTAATATTTAAATGTTCTATCTGTCACACCTTGGCAGGAGAACAGAAACCACTCTGCTTGTTTTAGCAGGAAGGGATTTAAGAAAGAGAATTGGATACTTAAAAAGCTGTTAATAGGACCAGAAGAATAAAAGTCAGAGAATGCCACTGCTGACTTTCAGGAAATCAGAAGGCATGGGAATTAAGGAAGGTATCCCTGAAGCTCTTAGTTTTCTACAGCACTGAAGCAGGTGATTCACAGGAGCTCACCCAGAAGATGCTGCAAACCTTATGTCTATAGCCTGCAGAACATCTCATGTTTTGCTCCTAGAGAAAAAAACAAAACAAACAACAGCAACAACAAAACACTTCAATTCTATCATTCACATCTCTTATCACTGATCCCTTTGTTAGAATTAAACTTAAATTCTGCATCAAAGGAGAGTAGGAAATGTAGTTTTGGGGCTTCAGACCATGAGCTATAGGGAAGATTTTAAAGGGCAGGGAAAGTGCTGAATACCAACAGAAGTATCTCATTCAAACATTCATTAGCATGATTTCTAAGATTGTAGTTTTCCATTGGAGAATACACATATTTATTTCTAATTTGGTCAATAGTTAACAATTTCCAGCTTGGGGACTCATCTGGGTGTCCCAGTTCTCTAATTACAAAAACCTACGAGTGCTACCTCATCTAGGATCCTCTGTTGGCATTTTCTTCTTGGAAAATGGTGTTAGTAGAGCGTGGTGGCTCACGCCTGTAATCTCAGCACTTTGGGAGGCTGAGGCGGGTGGATCACTTGAGGTCAAGAGTTCTCTAGACCAGCCTGGCCAACATGGTGAAACCCCATCTCCACTAAACACACACACACACACACACACACACACACACACACACACACAAAATTAGCAGGGTGTGGTGACATGCACCTGTAATACCAGCTACTTGGGAGGCTGAGGCAGGAGAATAGCTTGAACCCGGGTGATGGAGGTTGTGGTGAGCTGCAATCACACTGCTGCAGTCCAGCCTGGGCAACAGAGCAAGACTCTGTCAAGGAAGAGAGGAGAGGAGAGGAGGGGAGGGGAGGGGAGGGGAGAGGAGGGGAGGGGAGGGGAGAGGGTGTTAAAACCCCTGTCATAACTGACCTGGCAGAACTGACTTATACCCTCTTTACTTTCATTTTCTTTCACTGTGAAAGTGGAAAAATTAGTCGTAAAACTTGGCTAGTGCTTTTCCCTAACAACAAACCAAATTAATACAGCTTCATTTCTCTTGGGTCACATTTTTATACAAGAAGATTAACATGTTTTCCAGTCTGTCTGGGTGGTTCTGGATGGCTGAAATGCTGTCAGCCTTATTGAGTCATTCACGGAATTGATGTGAATCTTATAGAAAGTTCTCTCCATCTTCAAAGGCTTAATTTGGTTATTTATGGATGGATTTCATGCAGTTTTCAAAATATATTATTTGTCTCCATTTCAATGAGCCTGAACGTTTGTATAATGTTGGATAGGTTCCAGCAACATTATTCAGAGTGACTATGGGCATCAGGATCCAGGAACTTTAGGCAAAACATTTTCATTTATACCTCCTAATTTTCATCTCCTGTCTCCTTATAAAATGACTATATCTTGAATTTTAAATATTTGTTTATGTCAAAATCTCCACTGTAATCAAAAAACTCAATCCAAAAATTATTTTTCTCTTCTATATGTAGGAAAGGGTAATTATAAATTTAGGGACATTACTAGCATAGAAACCCTAAAAATGCTGAAATATACCAAAAGAAAAGCAGTCACAAGTTAATGCTTTTGTATTTTAAATAATTTGAAGAAAAGCTCCAATTTAGTTATCAATTATTCAGTTTCAAATTTCTTTCAATAATTTTCTGAATTTGGTTGATATGCAAGAATGCATTCTGTATGTTTCTGAATTTTATGGATACAACTATGGCTTTATTAAAAATTACATTATAGAATATATTAATATTGAAACTCATTTGTGATGTAATGATATGTTAAGCAGATTTCAAAAGAACATATTTGGATTCCATTATTAAAGAGGTAGTGGGATAAATTGTGGGCTAGAAAACCACTGATTATCTCTGGCCAGTGATATTATGGCTGATTTTAATTTTTGTAGGTGATTTCTGCATTTTCCTTTATAACTTTTATTATTAAAAACACTTATTTTCAAATAAAAGAGCCGATCTTTATTTGGAAGTTTTTCTCAGAAAAGCAAATAATTATCGTATTAAAAAATTGATAAGCTGAACTTCACAAAAATGTAAAACTTCTGCTTGAGGAAGACACTATTAAATGATTCAAAGGGCAAGTTACAAAAATTTGCAAACCGTGTCTCTGATAAAAAACACATAAAGAATATAAAATTTTTAAAACACAATAAAAATTATGCAAAAGACTTAGTAGACACTTCGTGAAAAATATGGATAGCAATTAAGTACATGAAAAGATTTTCAACCTCATTAGTCATTAAAAGTGCATATTAAAATTATAATCGGATACAACTACACATCTATTAGGATAACTGAAATTTAACAATATTACTATACCAAATGTGGCCAAGGATGTGAAAAAATTGAAACTCTCCAGGAATGTAAAATGACACACTTTGGAAAACAGTTGGCAGTTTCTTAGAAAGTTAAATATACACCGATGATATTATTTCCTTTGCCAGGCATTTACCGAAGAGAAAAGAAAGCAAATATTCAGTAAAGATTTGTGCACAAAATTCATAGAAGCTTTGTTTGTAATAGTCCAAAACTTTAAAGAATCCAAATGCCCATAAACAGGTGAATGTACAAATTGTGGGATATCCAATACTGTATATAAAATGAATTACTACTCACCAATAAAATGGAATGAACTATTTCTATGTGGATGGACTAATGTGAATGCATCTCAAAATAATTCATTGAGATTGAGTGAATGCAGCCAAACCAAGTAAGTACATACTGTGTGATTCTGCTTACACATAATCCTAGAAAATGCAAAATAATCTATAGTAAAAGAAAGCAGATAGTGGTTACCTTATGATAGGAATATAGCAGGTCAAGAAGGAAGGATAACTGCAGGGCACAAGGAAATTTGGGGGGGCATGATGGGTGTGTTTGTTATCTTGATTTTAGTGATGACTTATGGATATATACATGTTTGTGTGTGTGTGCGTGTGTATATATATACACATATATACACCATTTATATCATACACACAATTGAGAAAGTATATAATTTAAATATATATTTTATATGTCAATTATACCCCAATACATCTGTTTTATATATGTGTATGTGTGTATGAATATATATAATCACACATATAATAGAAAAGTGATATAAGTTGTATTAATTATTTCTAAGTAACAAGTTTCCCCAAATCTTAATGTCTTCAAACAACAAATATTTATTACTACACACAGTTTCTGAGAATCTGGAATCTGGGTATGGCTCAAATGGATAGTTCTCTGGGTTCCTTATGAGGTTGCAGTCAAATGTCACACAGGGCTGCTGTCATCTGAATGTTGGGCTGTGGCTGGAGGATCCTCTTCGAAGATTGCTCGCTTTCATGGCTATTGGCAGGAGGCTTCAGTCCTCCATGTGTACCTTGCCATAAAGCCACTTTTGTATCCTCCAGAGCAAACAATCCAAACAAGAAATAAAAAGGAAGAAAAGATTCTTTTCAAGATGTGTCTCATAAGTGTCATATCCTCACTTCTGCCACATTCTGCAGGTCACAGACAAATCCTGATACAATGTGGGAGGGAATGGCAAAGAAAGTAAATCCCAGGAAGTAGGAATCATTGGGAGTTATCTTGGCTATGCTCATTGTAGATTATTGTAGCATTTAAACTTAAAAGTGAAAGCTCCTTGTATTCCCACAAAGTTAATATTTTCCACTTACGTGTATTTAACAAAAGATATGGCTATTGCTTTATATATTTTTCCCCACTCAATACATTGTGGACATATTTCCTATGAGTGGGAATTGGCTTATTTAGATCTATCTCATACATTTTGGTTTTGTAAACAGTTTTATTTCATTTAATCAACATAAAATAAACTGCACATATTTAAAGCAAAAAACCAAAAACATCACGTGCTTATTTAAGAATAAATAGATCTATCTTAATAATTAAAGTTCTGCACGTTATCTATTTGCCCCCTTTGCCTAATAAATTGGTATGTGAAAATAAACATTTGAATCAAATAGATAAAAAGGTTAGGTATACCTCAGACTTCTTTAGGTATAACCTTTAGGTATACCTAAAGGTTAGGTATACCTTTAGAACTTCTTGGTTTCTCTGCCTTGATGGGAAGTTTGGAGATTAAACGTTTGGGGGCATTTGAATTAGGCAAGAGATGAAGAGTCATTGAAACACTGAGGCACAGTGAAAGAATCGGAAGAATCTTACGTCTCTTATATCACTTACCACAATACAAACAGCTGGCAATTTTCATAGTAATCATCCCACTAATAGTATTTATATAGCACTTGATATTTAAGGTAAGATTCTAACAATTATGTTTGTAACAAAAGATATATTGCATCTATTATATGAATATGGTTAAGAAAAAATATTTATTATTTCTTGTATGCAGTCTTCATAATGAACTAAGCAACAAACAAAAAAACTCTAATAAACTGAAGAGACTATGAATATAGGAGAGTGGCTTAATTTTCCTACTTCTTATTTTAGCTACAAAATTAAAGGTTTAAAAAGTTTTAAGATTTAAATTTAATATTTATGCTTCCATGGAAAACCTTTCACTATATCCTTTGCAGTTAAATTTATTATAACAAAATAGTACTTTTGGGAATACTGTCTTGGAGACTAAATTGTTTAGAAATACACAGCCTCATCAAAACATTTCTCAGACTGATATGGAGAAGTAAAGAGAAATCAACCATAAGCTTCATGAGGAGAGGCTTACCACTGTGCCACTAGAGTCTGATACATTGCAGGTACCCAGGAAATATGAGCTCAGAGAACAAATATTAAGAGAGCTCAATGTCAAACATAGGTCCCCTGCTAACCAGGTGTGTGTTGACTTAGGCAAATCACTTGCAAATTCAGATTTCATTGCCCTTGTATGTGATGTTTCCAGTGGATCCTATTAATTGGGACTTTTAATTGCCAAGAAATTCAAAACAAACTGGCCAAGCCAAACAAAAAAGAAAAACAAAAAATGTCAGTTAGAGGGTAGAATTTATTGACACAGGAGTTCTTGCTTCTTTGTATATCAGGGATTTTTAATACCCCAGATGTCCATCTTTCTTTATTTGGGACTGGTCAAAAAAAATCCTAAAATTACCACTGCTTGTAACACATGTCTGCTCATGAAGCAGTCACTGGGGCTAAGGGAATATAGTATTCAGCTATACAAGTCCTGTATCATGCGTCTAACCCTTTATAGTGGTCAGGCATGGGAGTGGGAGAGGAAGTCACTCCATCCAAATCCCGTGGAATAGTTTTTCTTAGTAAAAAGAGTTTTCACAGATATAGATGATATAGATACAGATAATAGATATGGATATAATATATAGATTCCGAACACATAAAAGTAGACAATGTCCATTACAAGGATCATGAAATAAATAGCTTCCCATATTTCAGACATAATTAAATATCTGGTTCTGTTTTCAGGACTTAACACCTACTAAATAATTATTATGAGGTGATATGATTTGGCTGTGTCCTCACGCAAATCTCATCTTCAGTTTTAGCTCTCGTAATTCCCTTGTGTCATGGGAGGCACCCAGTGGGAGATAAGTGAATCACGGGGGCAGTTCCCCCCATGCTGTTCTCATGGTAGTGAATAAGTCTCACAAGATCTGATGGTTTTATAAGGGGAAACACCTTTAACTTGGCTCTCATTCTCTTGCCTTCTGCCATGTGAGACATGCCTTTCACCTTCCACCATGATTGTGAGTCTTCCCCAGCCACATCGAACTGTGAATCCATTAAACCTCTTTTTCTTTATAAATTATCCAGTCTCAGGTATGTCTTTATCAGCAACATGAAAACAGACTAATACATGTAGTATACCTTTTTATATGATATTGGTTCCCAGTTAAGAGTGCATATCTGAAATGTGAAGGTCAATCATGTCAAAATACCATGTACAAACATTTCACTCAAATGCTGCAGAATACTCATTCTCCTCATCAACACAGGGAAGGTTCTCAAGGATAGATCATATGTATTAGACCACAAAGCAAGTCTTAACAAATTTAAAAACTCAAAATTATAGCAACTATCTTTTCTGACCACAATGCAATAAAACTAGAAATCAATAACAAGAGGAACTTTGGAAACTATACAAATACACAGAAATAAAACAACGTGCTCCTGAATGAACAAGTGGTCAAATAAAGAAATTAAGAAGGCAATATAAAAATGTCTTGAAACTAATGAAAATGGAAACACAACATACCAAAACCTATGGGACACAGATAAAGCAGTTATTACAGGGAAGTTTACGGCAGCATATGCCTTCATTAAAAAAGTAGGAAGACTTCAAACAAACAACCCAATGACAGAACTAGAAAAGCAAGAACAAAGCAAACTCAAAATTAGTATAAGAAAATAAATTTAAAAAATCAGCCAGAAATAAATAAAATTGAGACTATAGAAAAATACAAAAGATCAACAAGACAAAAAGTTGGATTTTTTTGAAAAGATAAACAAAATTGACAAACCTTTAGACAGACTAAGAAAAAAAGAGAGGCTCAAATAAATAAGAAAAAAAGAGAGGCTCAAATAAATAAAATCAGAGATGAAAAAGGAAACATTACTACAGAAACTCAAAGGATCATTAGAGACTATTATCAGCAATTATATTCCAATTAATTGGAAAGCCTAGACAAAAGGAAAAAATTCCTAGAGGCATAAAACCTACTAAGATTTTACCATGATGAAATAAAGAACCCAAACATGTGACTAACCAGTAACAAGATGAAAGCAATAATAAAAAGTCTCTCATCAAAGAAAAACTGAAGACTTGATGGCTTCGCTGCTGAATTCTACCCGACATTTAGAGAAGAAATAGTAACAATTCTACTCAAACTATTCTAAAACGCTGAGGAAGAGGAAATACTTCCAAACTCATTCTATGAGGCCAGGCTTGCCCTGATGCCAAAATCAGACAAAAACAAAACAACAACAACAACAACAAAACTACAGGCCCATATCACTGATAAACATAGATATAAAAATTCTCAACAAAATACTGGGAAATTGAATTCCAAAACACATCTGTTGTGCTGCAGAAGAATTTATCATGATCAAGTGGGATTTATCCTAGGCATGCAAGGATGGTTCAACATACATGAATCAATAAATGTGATACATCACATTAACAGAATCAAAGATAAAAATTATATGATCACTTCAATAGATGCCAAAAAAGCATTCAATAAAATTCAATATTCCTTCATGATAAAAACTCTCAAAAAACTGGTTATAGGAGGAACATATCTCAAATAATAAAGCCCATATACAATAAACCCACAGCTATCATTATACTCAATGGGGGAAAAATTAAAAGTCTTCCCTCTAAGATCTGGAAAAAGATAAGAATACCTACTTTGCCACTTTTATTCAGCATAGTACTAGAAGTCCTAGTCAGAGAAATTAGGCAAGAAAATCAATAAAGGGCATCCAAAGGGAAAGTAAGAACTCAAATTTTCTTTGTTTGCATACAACATAATCTTATGCTTAGAAAAACCTAAAGACTCTGCCAGAAAACTGTTAGAACTAATAAAGAAATTCAGTAAAATTGCAGGATACAAAAATTAGCATACAAAAATCAGTAGCATGTTGTATGCCAACAGCAAACAATCTACAAAAGAAATCAAGAAAGCAATCCATTAACAAGAGCTATAAAAATAAAACATCTAGAAATAAACTTAACCAAAGACATGGAAGATCTCTACAATAAAAACTGTAAAACACTGATAAAAGAAATTGAAGAGTACTCAAAAAGGGAAAGACATTTCATGTTTATGTTTTGGAGGAATTAATGTTTTGAAAATGATCTTACTAAGCAAAGCATTCTATAGATAAAATGCAAACCTTTTCAAAATACCAATGGCACTGTTCACAGAAATAGAAAAAACAATCCTAAAATTTGTATGAATATACAAAATACCCAGAATAATGAAAGCTATTTTTAGCAAAAACAAGAGCATCATACTACTACACTACAAAATATACTACAAAGCTATAGTAACCAAAACAGCATGGTGCTGGCACAAAAGCAGAAATATAGACCAATGGAACAGAATAGGGAACTCAGAAATAAATCCACATATTTACAGCCAACTCATTTTCAATAAAGGCATCAATAATCTATATGAGGAAAAAGTCTCTTCAATAAATTGTTCTGGGAAAACTGTATATCTACATGCATAAGAATGAAACTAGACTACTATCTCTCACCACGTAGAAAAATAAAACCAAAATTGATGAAAGACTTAAACCTAACAACTGAAATTATGAAACTATTAGAAGAAAAAAATTAGAGCAATGCTTCAGAACATTGGTCTGGGCAAAGATTTTTTTGAGTTAGACCCCAAAAGCATAGGCAACCAAAGCAAAAATTGACAAATGGGATTACATCAAGGTAAAAAGTTTCTGCACAGCAAAAAATACAATCAACAAAGTGAAGAGACAATTCACATAATGGGAGAAAATATTTGCAAACTATTCAACAAGGGATTAATAACCAGAACACATAAGAAACTCAAACAACTCAATAGCAAAAAAAAGAAAAAAGAAAAAGAAAAAAAATCTCATTTAAAAAAGGCAAAAGATCTTAATAGACTTTTCTCAAAAGAATACATACAAATGGCCAACAGGTATATTCTTTAAATGATCAATATCACTAATTATCAGGGAAATGCAAATCAACTTACAATGTGCTATCATCTTACTCAGCTAAAATAGCTATTATCAAAAAGACAGAAAATTCCCTACGCTAGTGAAGATGTGGAGAAAAGGAAATACTCATGGACTGTTGATGAGAATTTAAATTAGCATAGGCACTAAGGAAGAGAGAATGGAGGTTCTTCAAAAAGCTAAAAATAGAATTACCATATGATCCAAAAATCCCACTGTGCTGTACGTACAGCCAAAAAAAAAAAAAAAGGGAAATCAGTATATCAAAGAGATATCTGCACTCTCATGTTTATTGCAGCACTATTCACAATAGCCAAAATATGGAATCCACCTAAGTCTTCATCAACAAATTAATAAGGAAAATGTAGTATATTTACACAATGGAATATTATTCAGCCCTAAAGAAAAATGAAATCCTGTCATTTGCAGCAACATGAATGGAACTGGTGGACATTACATTAACTGAAATAAGTCAAGCACAGAAAGATAAATATTTCATGTTTTCCACTCATATGTGGGAGATTAAAAAATTGATCTTATGGAGGTAGTGAACAGAATGATGGTTACCAGAGGCTGGGAAGGTTTGTGGCGGCAAGGATTGAAGACAGGTTGGTTAGTGGGTACAAAAGCCAGTTAGATAGAATGAATAAAACTCTAGTGTTCAGTAGCACAATAGTTAACAATAATTTTTTGTAGACTATAGTTAATAATAATTTTTTGTATATTTCCAAATAGCTAGGAAGAGAAGAGTTATGATGTTCCCAACACAAAGAAATAATAAATGTTTATGGTGAATGATATCCCAATTACTCAGATTTGATTATTATATATCATACACTTGTATCAAAATATCACATGTACACTATAAATATGTATAACTATTATGGGCCCACAAAAATTAAAAATAAAGAAGAAATACCATGGGCAGGTATTAGTCATTTTATGGCGTATTTTCTCACTGAAGACAGAAACTGTGAGATACATGTATGTTGTTAGAGAAGCTTGCAGAAAACTGCTTTTCAGTATAATTCTTCTTATCCCAGACACAATCCCTAAGACTTTGTTCTCAACTGGACTTGATTAAAGCTGTGCTTCTACAGTTTCTTTGTTTAGCTTGCACTAACCACACAGGCACACTTAATGCTAACTGCTTTCAAGCAGTGTCTGCACAAAAACACTCTTCTATACACAGTCTCAATTGTGACCCTCTGAAAGAAGAAACTCAGCCTGAGAGACCAAGGTTTGTTTTCATAAGACCAAAGTCAGTCAGTGATCACTTTTGAATTGCTGTGGTGTCTGCTTTAATTTAGAGTAAAGTTGTATATTTTTTAAGGCCCATATGTTTTGAGTATGTAAGTGCTAAACATTGTAAATGAGGTTTATAAAGTAGGATTGAAATACATGCCTAGTTAGAAAAAAAAAAATCACATGGCCAGAAAAGCAACAGAGATGAAAGAATTCTGGAAGCATCGAGATCACATTTTATTGAGAGAAATATCACTCCTCCAACACAACCTAAAAATCATTTCTGAAAGATTTTTGTCAGGGCTGCTTAGGCTACAGAAAGAAAACCTGGAGTGGCTTAAGGATCATCTTCAAGTGTATGAAGGATTTCTATGGAATTGAAACTTACTATATTTTCCCTTTCCATGGTGAACTGAATGCAATAAAATAGCATTGAATTAAGTCAGAGGCAATTTAGGTTGGAGGTAATGGAGATCTTCCTGGCTTTCAGAATTGTAACAGAGCAGGATTCCTCCAAGGGAAGGCCGGGACCTCTTTGTTCCTCATGGTCAGTAAAGAAGAAAAGAGGAGGAGGATGGGGAGGGAGAGAGGGAAGAGAAGCAGGAGAGGGAGGGAAGAGGAGGAGGAGGAGAAGGGAAGGAAGAAAGAAAAAGACTGCTTTTCTCAGTTCCCTGAGCTGAAATGGTTGTAACTGCTCTACAAGTACTAGGCGCTAGTTCTATTCCATTGATCATCATTCCTACACATTGTCTCTGATTGTCTTTAACGAGGGAGAACCAGCTTTAGCCTGGACCACAAGATTTCTAAACTACTGCCAAGAAGAGGCTGAAAACAAATTGAAGGAGCTTGGAGCAATATATCCAGGGCTGCTAATGTCACATGTGATGTAACTTAATCCTAAATCACTCAGAATCCAGGAAGTGTGGTGAAGCAGTCAGACAACTGTTTAACTTTGGGACCACAATGCTGGATCATGTCCTCCTGTGGAGTGCAAGTAATACCAGGACAGGAAATGAGACTGTGGGGGAAGGAAACACAGCCCTCCTTTTTTCTGGGACCAGAGTCTGCATTGTGATATGAAGGCATGGAAGTAATAGGCTACTTCTGGTGTTAAGATCTGAGGAAACAGCTTCACCAAAGAAAGGAGTGGCCCAGGAAACCCTGTCCAAGCCTGTTATAAGCTTTCCTTTCTGTTGTAATGCACACTCCAATGGAAGTTAAACCTGGGCATATGGACAAACATGAATTGGGCTACAAATATCTTGACATGACTCGAGAAAGAGACTAAAGAAAGAAAAGTAGTAAACACTCAAGAACAAAGAGGGTAGGAGCGGACATAGTGATGGGTACTAGCAATCCATATTTGAAACTGAAAAGCAGATAGGGGAATGGTAAGCAACCTACGAGAGTGGAGAAAGTGGAAAACTAGCATCTGAATACAAAAAGTACCATAAAAGAAACAAGCTGATTCACCTCCCAGAACCCAGGAAAGGCTAAGGGCTGCAGCCAGAAATTGTGATGCCAAGGAGAGTAAGAAATGAGAGACCGAAGACAGCTAAAACATATGAGGCTGACACTTTAGACATAGAGCTATCAGAGGAACTAGTCCCTCTTTCACCCTGTTGAACCATGGTGACTACTCCTTCTATACCCCTGCAAGAAGTGAGAGGTTTATACCCTGCAGAAATCATACCAGAACGGTCTTGGCTCAGAAACAGGCACAGAGGGTAAGTGGTGAGGTGCAGCACTCATGCCTAAGAGTGAGACCTCTTCACCCATCCTGACTGGCTATGCTCCGCCCATCAAGGCAGAAGATTGAAGAATCTTCTCTAAAGAAAAAGAAAATGATAGATTTGGGGATACCTCAATATTATAGCTGGTCTAGCAGACACAATGCTTTACTGCCTTACTTTGGAGGCAGTCAGAAATCATTCTAGGCCGGGCACGGTGGCTCACACCTGTAATCCCAGCACTTTGGGAGGCCGAGGCGGGCAGATCACGAGGTCAGGAGATCGAGACCATTCTGGCTAACACAGTGAAAACCCGTCTCTACTAAAAATACAAAAAATTAGCCGGGCGTGGTGGCGGGCACCTGTAGTCCCAGCTACTCAAGAGGCTGAGGCAGGAGAATGGCGTGAACCCGGGAGAAGGAGCTTGCAGTGAGCCGAGATCGCGCCACTGCTGTCCAGCCTGGGTGAAAGAGGGAGACCGTGGCACAAAAAAAAAAAAAAGAAAAAGAAAAGAAAAGAAATCATTCTAACTCCTGGGCAGGCACAGTGGCTCTTACATGTAATCCCAGTATTTTGGGAGGCCGAGGTGGGTGGATCACCTGAGGTCAAGAGTTCAAGACCTGCCTGGCCAACCTGGTGAAACTCCATCTCTACTAAAAATACAAAAATTAAGCAGGTGTGGTGGCATGCACCTGTAGCCCCAGCTACTTAGTAGGCTGAGACAAGAATTGCTTGAACCTGGGAGGTGGAGGTTGCAGTGAGCCGAGATCGCGCCATTGCACTCTAGCCTGGAAAACATAGTAAGACTCCATCCCCACCCCCCACCAAAAAAAAAAAGAAAAAAAGAAATCATTCTAACTCCAAAAAGAAGACCAAAACTCAGAAAAAGACACCACCATTCATACACAGTAACTCAAAATAAGAGAGAAAATGCACGGGGCAGAAAAACTTAAAAACTAAAATTATTATCCTTAGAAAAATAATGAAAAATATTGAATTCATGAAATAAAACCATGGTACCATTTACAAAAATAGTTAAACAGTATGGGAAAAATAAATATAATAGATGAAAGTTTAAAAATTTTTCAAAAGTGAGAAGATAAAGAACCTACAATATAGGATAAAAAGATAAAGAGATCAACAATAGGAGGGAACAGACTAATTTATCCTGAATGTTGTCTGAATTTGCTACCACATACTGGTAACATTTTCAGTACCCCACTTTTGTATATCCTTGGACTTTCAGAATCCTAGATCATGTCAAAGAAAACAGATAGACTGGCAGTATCTTGAGACCATTGAGTCACATGTGAAACAGGCTGTTCAAAAAGCCACCTTTTGATTTAACATGGGTCTCAAGCATTACACTGCCCTCTCCAATAGGAAGCCCCCTCTAATCAAAATGCAGTCATCACTAGATTGCATTTTCTGGAGAATTGGGCTACATCAGCTTATCGCTGAAACCACTGGTCTTTGCCATCCATCCCATCCTAATGAACTCTTGGAACCTTAGGATTTTCATTGGCCTCCCTTAGAGAGTCGGATACAGAGACATTCTAGCACTTAGGCATCTCCATGACCATGTTAGAAGCAGAATTATATAGATACTATATTTCAACCAGGAAAGGGTGAAAAATACTCCAAGACAAGGAAAGTAGAAGTTACTTACTAGTGGTTCTGTTTCAGAGGTAAGGAAAATGTAGGTGGTACGCTGTAACACTTCTTATTTATTAACCAGTTGGTCATTTCCTATTTCTAAGTGTCAAGCCCAGAAGAATAATGCATCCCTAACACAGTTCAGATCTCCTCTCTGAGGAACAGGCATATTCGTATAGCTCCCACTCAGCATCTTTCTGAAGACAGCTAGACATACACACTTTCATGGTTTATTCCTTTGACTTCTATGCTATATTAACCATTCTGCTTTTAAATTATTTATTATTACTAAAGATTAAATACATTCAAGCTGGTCTTAATTAAGGAAATATAATTCATAGGAGGTAACTTTATTTCCCTCACTTCTAAATTGTTGGAGAAGCCACCTACATATATAAGTGTAGTCCTATTTAGCATAATATTATGCTAAGTTGTTCTCTGGTTTAAAGTACTATGATATCTTTAGAGGTTTCATTAAATATATCTTTTCATCACTCTTAAAAGATTCCAAAATAAAAAATAGCATGATACAATGCCTTTTAAATAAAAGAATGTATAAGGTTTTAATACTTATGGAATTTTTACTAATGAGAAGGGGAAAGACATCCAGGAATGTTTGTATGTCAGAAAGGTAGTGAAAGTATTTTCTTTTCTATTTCTTTTTTTTTTTTTTAAGTTTCTTTTTTTTTTATTATACTTTAAGTTTTAGGGTACATGTGCACATTGTGCAGGTTAGTTATTAAATTGTAAAATTGAGGCTGTATTGACTTTTCCATGGCATGAAACTTGCAAAAGCTAGGGCTTTATTTTAATCAATTGATCATAGCCCCCACAGTTAAATAAAATATTTAAAATATCAAGAATCATAATATAAATAAAATGGACAGTTTTGCAATCCCAACATACATTTCTTAAAAAATACAAACCTAATCTTTTGCTAAGTGGACTTTTCCATATACTTTCTTTTGAGAAAAACTTGAAAATTTTTCATAACTTGTTTTTTTCCCTAGTTCATTTCTGTGCCTTATTTCAGCAATTCCTCTGAAAATCAGAAACTTGGCATTGTTCTTTGTGTTTCTGAAAAGAATCCTCCCTCCCACAATTGTTCTTTGGTGAGAAATGCTGATTATGATTTCGCTAAAGAAGTTTTATTAAATGTATCTTTTCATAGCTTTTAAAAGATTCCAAATAAAAATAACATGATTTGATACAGTAATTTTAAAATAAGGGCATTTAGAAAGTTTTACTCCCAGGAAAGAGGAAGGCCATTTTTTAAAGATTGTTAAGCACTTGCCAGCCATGTTATCATTTTCCACTTGGAGAACATCAACCACGGTAAGGCCAGATCTTCCCCGAACCTTTCTGTCTGCAAACCATTAATCTGCCTGGCCTCTTATTTATTTAGTTCACTTTGCAGACTGGAATAATTCCCTCTGCTTAAAGAGCAGTACAAATTTTTTCATCCGCCAAAAGCCTAGGACTGTCTTCTTTAAGACTCCGCCCAGTTTTATGAGACTTTAACCATTGCAAGTGCCAGAATTTAAAGCCCATCAGCCAAACTATAACTTATACCTTTGTCTCAAAAGGATTGTTTTGATCTTCTGACTGGAAATTTTAATACTTTGAGATATATGTGGTTACATGCATATATATTGTCATACTCAAACTAAACTAGAAATAACCTAATGTCCAAAGATAGAGAACTGCTTATAGCAATTGTGTTACATTCATATGTAATGAGGCATTCTCAGCCATTTGCATAATGCTAAAAATGAGTATTAAATGAAAGCGAAAGACGTATAGAATATGGAGTTAAATTTAAATATATGCAAGTATGAAAGCTGTGTGTGAACGTGAAAAGAGGTGAATACGGTGAATGTGGTGGATATGAATGTGCATGCATAGTGTGTATATCAGGAAAAAAAACACAAGGGATTCAACATTAAATTTAAAAAGTTAAAAGTGGTGAAGATAAATTTTCTGCTATTCTTCCTATATGATATGTTTTCTAATGTTTTACAGTGAGTGAGTGTATATGGCATTGTAATAAAATTTTTAAAAGTAATTTATAACCAACAGGTTCTGTATGTTTTCATTAGAGGTTTGCTGTTTGTTTATTTTGTCTTAGGATAAAAATGGAGTACTTTCTGTCTGGAGAGTTTGATGAAGACTTGTCTAAAATCAGAAGAAGTAGGGGGCAAACTATTGCAGATCCTGAAGGAAAAGCCTCAATCCACATAGATTTACTCCTTGCTCTGAATTTCCAAGCTGAGAAGAGTTCAACCACACCGACTAGAAAGCATTCAGTCTGGTGTTCATTCCATCCTCTGTTACAACTGCCATCTCACTTTCAGTTAGGGGAAACTGCTAACTCAGATTAACATTCAAACAGAAAAACAGGATAATAGAACTTAAAAGAGAGAGAAAAAGAAAGAGAGAGAGAGAGCTCTACTGCTGTAAATTGGCTCTCTATCCTCCAGTCTTCTGGAGGCACAGTCTTCTCCCTAACAAATGACACCAAGTTGTTCCTCCCTTATACTAGCCCCCTTATCTCCCAGACGTCAATGAATGTTTATGATGCACATGCCATGGTGTGTGGGTTCAAGTGCAACCCTTCCACTCCTGCACCAGAGTCCAAGTTCAAAATATCAAGGTCTCCGAGTACCACACTCTGCTCACATTACTCTGCTCACATTAGAATCACCTCAGTGCCAAACCCAGTGCTTGATAGCACACCTACTTGTATCACCACACTCAGATCTTTATAACCTCCTTTGAGCATGTCAGATGTCTTACTTTTCCCAAAGATGTTATTTGTTTTTTATAGATGTTCAGCAATTCTGTTAAAGACAGGACAGATAGACATGAATAAATATGTGTAAGCTGGTATAAGCATTCCTCCTCCTAAGCTAAAAATGGGGACTCTTATTTATATGTATTTGAGGGTTGGAAGTTGCACAGTGAATGATATTATTTTCTCCGGCACATGTTAGGACTAACTGAAAAAAGCCAGGAGAGTGGAGGTAAAGACATTTTGGAGGATGTGGGTAGCCACAAAAGACATCTTCATAAATCACTCCAAAGCTAGGTAGACTTACTAAAGGCCCAGCAGAGCAGCCACATCACAGGAAAATCCAAGAGGTTTAATAAACCAGTTTTACTAGCAGAGAACTTTATGCTGAAGTCCTCTAAATCAATGATTCTCAAACTTCACTTTGCTTAAGAACACCTGGAGAGCTTATTCAAAAATCAAATTATCAGGTTTCTACAGATAAGTGGCCTGGGTAGAACCAGTTATTTGCACATTTTCAGATTTGGCTCTATGTTTTATCAGGGAACAGAATTGTTACAATAAGGTACCAAACACTGCAGCTGAACAAATGGCCTTCTCTTTCTTTATTTGGGAAGGTTGCCTTTTCAAAGAGCAAAGCATGTGCAAAATTCAAATATGCAATTTGTAAAAATCAGCTAGTCATTACTAGCTGTTGGAGATGAATATGGCTAGCCAGTCGAGTTCATACTGCCTCTCAAAGGGCTTTATTATAACAAGTGGCAGAACACACTACTTGGCTGGAAAAGGACAGCATCTGCATCGGGACATCCTGGGAGCACAGATGTGTGCTTTGGCTTGCGAAACACTGACTATACATCAGATGTTTTTCTATTATGTGGCCATCGTGAGAATGCTATAAGCCAGCCATACAGCTGACTGGGTGTTTAGCTTTAGGAAATTGATTCTTCAACCTGAAAAGTTAACCATCTTATTTAAGAAACATGAGTGATGCTAGAGTAAAATCTTAATTTCCTCAAGCTTTCCAAATGAAAAAGGTAATTATTTTAAGACCACTTCTTCCATTCCCCCATATACATGCAAATGTTTTGGAAAAGAACCTAATGCTGGCAGGGACTAAGCTAAGGGTCACTGATAAATGGCAGTGAAGAGTTCTCCCACCCTCAGCTCCCAGGGGACACATTTGGTGCCGGTGGAGGATGCAATTTTAATGTTATTGCATTACTTCCAGATCCTTTTCCTCGCCTACCAGCTAATGAGAAAAAGTTACTGGAATATGAAAATTTATTGTCAAAGTAAAAACTTGCCTTTGTTAAAAGCAAAATGTTGTAAATGAAAGATGAAGTCTTGTCATTTTTTGCAGGCAAAAGGAGGAAACTGTGTCAAATTCCTACTTTGTACCAGACATGGCTACAGATCCACTGAGAAGAGTGAGGAGTTAAATATTCCAGGTATTCATTGAGAAAATGTATTACTCTCATTGTAACAATGGAGCAATTTGCTGATTATTTTTTCCTATAGACATTAGTCATGCCATAGTGACTAACCTTTAAATTTTCTGGCAAATGTTTCTCTTTATAATTGTTCCTATTAAAGATCAAATGCTGGCTAATTTCAATAGCAGGAAAGAGCAATTAGAAAATTAAGGAGCCTTTCTCTTCATACTTCCATTTCAGAAGCTCTGTGTTAGCTTAAGTAATGTTTTATGCATTGAACAGAGCTATTAGCAAATGGCTTTATTTTACGAAAGACAAGAGTATGTCTAAGGTGCCAACACATTTGTGAAATCGAATTCCAAGTTGCATTAATTAATGTCTATTAATAAGGTATAAATTCTCAGTTAAATACTTATTTGGTGGTGCAAAAATAATTATTAATTTAGTCCTTGTCAAGGGTCTTTTGGTTATGAGTAGAAGAAATCCACTACAACTAGCAGAGGCAAAATGGGGGGAGTTTACTGGACAATGACAGGCTGATCTTCCATACTATTCCCTGTGTTGGCTGGTTTTCTCTGCTGCTATGTGTGTTTGGGTGCATGATACCACCCCTTCCTGCAACATACCCTCTGAGTTCTAACATCAACCTCAGGTTGTAACATTTGTGAGTCATAAATCCGTTTTAACAGGAATGACAAGCATATGAGTATACCTTGGGTCAACTGTCTACCTCATAGTCCAATCAGGACTTGATTTAAAAATGCTACAGTTTCTCTGGAAAGAGAACTGGACACAGTAGTAGACACTTGAGCAGTCGCCAAAGCTGTCACTAACTGGTACTTCAGACCATGTGCCACTCAGCCTCACTGCTTTACCATAATCTCACCTGCAGAGTCCACAGGTGAGGATAGGTCATTTCTAACTTCCCTTAAATGACATTAATCATTTAAGAGAACATCTTCCAGGCCAATGATAAAGAACATTACATCTGCGTGTTATGAGATTTCAAAGAAGGCAGATTCCATTGTTAACTTAAAAAGAAAAAAAAAAACCTGAGAAGACCAAAGGATAATCAACATAATGAATCATTTCATTATAACAAAATATTTAATTATATTTCTATTGAAGAAAATAATATTAGTTAGCATCTGTTGTGCCCTATTAATAGCCAGGCATTGTACTAGGCATTAAAATCCATTAGCTAATTTAATTCTCACATGTATATAAGTTTGATATTATTACCCTTATTTGGAGATAAACTTACAATTGAGTTAAATAATGAACTAAAAGTCAAGTGCTCTGAACAAGCACATTTGAGAATCAACTCTGACTATGAAACTTTTGCCACAAGATGCTAGCCTTCTGGGCATTCATCTGACATGAGTATGCTTCTATCCAGTGCTTATGTGGGATCCTGGGTAAGGAAGATGCAAATTTGATGCCAAATGGATAATCATATTCTACCCCAGTTATCCTGACGAACTACCACTCACTCATGGATCTGACTCTATCATCCATTACTACCCTCCCAGGGCATACACAGAGGGAGAAAGCAAAAAGTAAATGCAGGGATAAACTAAGATGCTTTGGGTTTGTGAGACACAAGTGAACAGATGACAGCCTTCAAAACAGTCATCCAAAATGTTATAGGGAATCATTTCACTTCTTGTTTACCTATAATTTTATTCTACTTTTTCATAAAATTATAGATACCAGTATATTACATGCTGATATGGTTTGGCTGTGCCCCTACCCAACTTTTATCTTGAATTGTAGCTCCCATAATTCCCACACGTTGTGGGAGGGACCCGGTAGGAGGTAACTGAATCATGGGGGTGGGTCTGTCCCATGCTGTTCTCCTGATAGTGAATAACTCTCACCAGATGTGGTGGTTTCATAAAGGGAAGTTCCTGTGCACAAGCTCTTGCCTGCCACCATGTAAGATGTAACTTTGCTCTTCCTTCATCTTCTGCCATGATTTTGAGGCCTCCCCAGCCATGTGGAACTGTGAGTCCATTAAACCTTTTTCCCTTATAAGTTACCCAGTCTCAGGTATGCCTTTACTAGCAGTGTGAAAATGGACTAATATTCATGCCTACATACTAAAGAGCCATTTAATTCAGACTGATCCCAGGATAGCCTGTTGATATGGTTTGGATGTTTGTCCTCTCCACATGGCACGTTGAAATGTTGGAGGTGGGGCCTAGCGGGAGGTGTTTGGGTCCTGGGGGTGGAACCCTTATGAATAGCTTGGTGATAAGTAAGTTCTCCCTCTATTCACTCACATGAGAGCTGGTTGTTTTAAAGAGCCTTGCAACTCCTCTTCTCTCTCTTGCACCTTCTTACTCCATGTGACATGCCTGCACCTCCTTCACCTTAGGCCATGAGTAGAAGCTTCCTGAGGTCTCATCAGAAGCCGAGTAGATGTTGGTGCCATGCTTGTATAGCCAGTGAAACCGTGAGACAAATAAATCTCTTTTCTGCAAAAATTACCCAGCCTCAGATATTTTTATAGCAATGCAAAATGGACTAACACACCTATCTAGCAAGTCAAAGGAAAAGCAGCACAGAATCTTGATAGTCCTCTGAATAGATAACCTAGATGACTAGTCCTTGAATTAATGAGAAATGGCAATGCTTATTGGGTTTATTTTTGAATCATCATTAATGGGGGAAGGAAAAACTTAATTCAATATCCCAAGCATTCATAGAACACTAACTACTAATATATAATGCACATTATATGCATCTATCAAATACTGCCTTAGATAGTATCATTGATAAAAAGGAATTTATCCAGTTTATAATATAAGACTGAGAACATAAATAGGCATAAGGCCACAGAGAAGCAAACATTAAGACTAAAAAAGGACAAGAAATAGACTGAAGGAATATAATAATCCAAAATCGATCATCATCTTCATATGTTTCATTTTGTTTGCTGCTATGAAGATCTTTGTCATTGTCATTATTCATTCAATAAATATCTATTAATATGTACCAGAAAATGTTCTAGGTCTGGGAATCCAGGGGTAAAAACAATTAGAAGTGGCTGCTTTCTTCATAGAACTAATATGTCATTTTCTTTATTTGTTATCAAATCCATGGAGATGCCTGATTGATTTAAAATACACATTATGTGCAGCTGATCTTCATAGATGTGTCTCTCTTGCCTTTGTTTGGTGTCTGTTGTACTTCCTGTGCCTCATTATTTATCAAGAAACCATTAAAACTGCACAGTGGAAAATAAAAGATAAAAAGGAGGAAGAGTTCAATGAAAAAAGAAAAAGCCAAGTGTTCCCATCCATTCTCTGTCTGTCTCCCTCTGGATTTATAAATGTTTATTTTGCACTTTCTGTGTCAGGCTTAAGATCACTCTGAGTTACCACAGGAGTTACGTCCAGATGCAGGAAATGGTGCTGTCAGCCTGAAGTCAGTGGTGCTTCCCTTAGCTGTGAAGTATTATAGGAATATGTGTGCTTTCCATCCCATCTAGGACTAGTCTTCACAGTAAGCTGTCATTTTTCCAACAGAATTTCAAGCTATTCTTCTTGAATGCAATAATAACTAAAGACTACAAACCACACACAGGGAAGTATAGATACCTATTATCTGTTAGTCCATCACTACACACCTAGTGCCTGATAGGGTGCATTGTAAACAGAAAGTACTCAAAGGAAATAATAAAAATGGATCCGGAGTTTATCTATATACAACCACTGAAGGATCACTTACTGACCTCCCACTATGAGGTTAGTTCTATCAACTTCTCCAATTTCAATTCCTTTTTCCATCCCATTTCTGTCCTTTTGCCTGTTTCCCAAGTCTGTTTTATGTTCCAAGACTCATAATGTACAAGTTAAGCTACTAGCTGAATTCTTGTCCCTTTACTGTTTCCATCTGGTTCCCATCCTTTATTTTGATTTTTGTATTGTTGTTTGCCATTTTGTTTTTGTTTTTTGCTCTCCGTAAAGTCTCTGTATTCTGCTAGGATTCCTTTAATTTATTACTCTCTTTTTTTTTTAAGTGATATCTCCTTTCAACCCATCAGCAATTACGTGTTTAAAGTTAAACCTATACCCATATGCAATATACACAGTATGTTATCTCATATGTACGATCTACCTGGGATCCACAATCTGCTGTCTTCCAGACATACACCAGGTAGCATCTCTGCACAATAGTCCTGTAGTTAGAAACGAGCATTAAAGGGTATTTCTTCCCAGAGGAGCAAAAACATCTAATGAATGCTGGATGGCAATAATAAATAGGCTTAAATGGGAAAATAGGTCAACTCAGGAATACTTTGCCTCGAATAACAATAGAAATAACTAAAATGGTTTTTCTTCTACAAATTGCATTGTGTGGTTTTCCCCTTTACTCTCTTAGTAGTAAAGATTATTTTCTCCTGAATGCAATCATTTGTAAATACCAAGAAACCTAAAAATACATTTGTTTGTAACAGGAATTTCTTAAAATACTCGAAATTAGATTTTAAGAGTTGTCCATTGGCTTTATTTCCAAGACCAAATTTCTGAGTCAAATTCTTTAACTTATTTTATACGTAAAGATTTCAGTATGTACTCCAAATAATTGAAATTTTATGTTTTAAACAGTATAACACCTGAATAAAATGAATTCTTTAACATTATGGAATATGCTGTCATTGTTTACATTTTGTAAAGTATAAGTGCTGTGCAACTTTGTTTACAGTTTATTTTATCAGAATCTAAATAAGGTCTATATATTAAAATTGGCTGATTCATCTCTTAAATCTCTTTTAATCTAGAGGCTCTTCCCTGACCCCATTCTAACATTTTTACAGAGAAAAAATGGATCATTCATTTCATAACATTTTCCCCACTGTTTGGAGTTTGCTAATTGCATACTATGGAAAAATATTACACTTTAAGTTTTAATTATTTTTTAGAAAATAATTTCTTGAGTCAGATATCTATATGCAATCTCTTTAAAATTATAATCCCCAAATCTATGTTCTGTACAGCCATCTTAATGTAACATTTCTAAAAACTTATTTAGTAAACCATTTCATTATTGGATTAAATATATTCATGTGGCAAAACATTTAGCATTTCCATTAGAATCCTTTGTTCTCTTTTGAACATGTAAAGAAGGAAACACTATTTGTGTGCCACAGTCTTATTCCACACCTCAAACTTTCTTGCTACTCTGCCTTTGCATATTGACATAGCATTTGAAAGACAAAATGTGGGTCATAAGTTAAAATACAAGTTGAAATGCGATAAGGTCTTTTTCACTTACAAAATACTGCTTTGTCCCAGACCACCTCCTTTACCCACTTGTCCTAAAAATATAAGTCTCGTCTTTACTATTTTCCACTGAGTATATCCTAACCAAATCCTTGTGGCTCCCCATCTGCAAGTACTCATGACTTTAACTAGAGTTGAGTCTGTGTCTTTAAAGGCAAAATTTAATTATATATTTATGGAGTATTTTTATCCAGACCTCAAAATTATTTCTCTGGTGCACCAAATGTTTTTAAGGAAAATGCAATTAAAGTCTACCAAAACTTGGCTTTTGTATGTGCATAAGTTAACTGTGGTAGGCACCAGAGACACTAAAATTCTTTATTCAGCAAGGGACCAATCTGTATAGATAAAACACCTTCTAGGCATGAAACCTGATTTCAATTGTTGGTTGAATCCACCCACTTTCCTTTGGCAACACATTACCTGGTACTTTTGGACTCTAGATTTTATAAACTTATGGCTAGTTAAAGATGAATTAACTCACATTATGTACTTTATTTAAGTTAAAGATAGAATGTTGTTCTAATGTCAACTTTAATGTCTAAATAAGGTCAGCAAACTCGTGGCAGGATTTTCTTTATAATTTGTCTCTGCTTCATCCAATGCATCTCCTCCATGCTGTAAGCCACGGTAGATGCCCCATGTCTGTAACATCTTATAATAAATATACCTTTTATTTGCATCAGAATTCACACACTAATTGCAGAAAAGTTTCAGGTTCATTGCAATTGCTCTGGCCCGAAGGAGTCATCTTTGATGGTTTTCGGTTGTGTTTGCTGCTTCAGTTTATGGCTCCCATGGCAATCAGTGCTGCTCTCCTCCTGCACATGCATTATCAAATATGCCTTTTGCAGCTGCTTGGGATGGTCTTAGAAGAGTAGAAGGAGGCAGGGGTGCCAATTCCTTTCAATGTTTGTAGACAAAGAAGAACTTCCTGGCTAAGTTCTACATCAGGATGCATGCCTCTGATCTTTAAGGCAAATGAGACAAAAACCTAACCATAATTTAATAGAGAAGCATGGGTATTATCCCAGCCTGCACAGAAACCATGTTCAGACTAAATAACCCACTAATTGCTTATGCTCAGTATGGAGTCAACCCCACATAAACGATTTACAGAATCCACTATCAACTTTGCATTGGCAACAAAGCAACCTCTAAAACAACAACAACCAAAGCTGGCAACTGGCAAGTGCTGACTAGGGTGAGTTAGAACAATGTGGGAATGGTCACTTCTGGTACAGGCTGGATAAAAGGAGCAGGAACAGATGAGCAATTTAAACTTCCACGTATTTCATCCAAGTTAGTAGCAAAACATGGCAGTCTCATTGGCCCCTGCAAAATCCCAACTCTATTTGTCAAAATCCTGGAAGTTCTGAAGTTTACCCAAAGAAAGAGAAGGAAGCTAGCAGCCTGTTAATTGGTTTGGGTTTTCAATTCACAAGGCAGCAGGTAATATTCACCCAACATCTTCCACTTTATATATCTTGAATGCATACTGGCTGCTCTTCTTATGAACTGCCACAGTGCCTAAGATTAAGCTTCTTGTTGCATTTTACGACTATCAAGAAGAAACAGTAGAATTGTCTGGATGCTCTGCGCTCATGAAGGAAACTACTCATTATCCTTTTTTTTTTTTTCTGAGATGGAGTCTTGCTCTAATGCTGGGCTGGAGTGCAATGGCAATGGGGCGATCTTGGCTCACTGCAACCTCTGCCTTCCAGGTTCCAGAAATTCTCCTGCCTCAGCCTCCTGAGTAGGTGGGGCTACAGGTGCCTGCCGCCACACTCAGCTAATTTTTGTATTTTTTTAGTAGAGACGGGATTTCACAATGTTGGCCAGGCTGGTCTCAAACTCCTGACCTCAGGGGATCCGCCTGTCTCAGCCTCCCAAACTGCTGGGATTACAGGCATGAGCCACCGTGCCCGGCCTCATTATCCATTTCTTTTTGCCTGCTAAGCCAACATGTCTCACTCGCTATGTCTAACTTAGCCTCTGTTTGTCCCCTCTAATCTAGGAGAAATTCTTCTTGCTAACCTATTATCTATATAATCTTTTAAAAAATATTTACTTTAATTATGGATATATAATGGTGGTATATATTTATTACATAATATTAATCTGCCTTAGCATTAAATTAGATTATTAGATTACAAAGAAAACAGAAATCTGAAGAACATTACTATTAGTCCAATGCCATGTACCAAGTAAATCCTTAAAAAACACAACTGGACAATGAAAGGTAACCAAAGGTCTTTGTGATCCATGCCATACCAGACAGCACAGAGAACATGAAAGCTCTGAACTCAGGGGCATTTGACAATTTACTTCTGTTTAACTCATCTATTTTTTAGGAGAGAAAGAGAAATAATGGGCAGGTGGCACATAAAAAAAATAAACAGTTCTCAACAAAGAAGATAGCTAAAAAAAGATGACCACAATCCCAAGGAACACCAAAATGAGAATGCAATGCACCCAGAAGAAAATACAGATATTTCCAGTGGGATTGAAGCAACAACCTGTTGCCATTATGTTTCTCTTTGCCCTGAAAGTTCAAATATTTGTGTTTCTCTGAGACTGCTGATAGAAATGCAGCTGATGAGACTCCTTCATTTAAGGCAAAAACTGGCAGCCCATTGAAGGTGTCAAGAGTTCACACTGCTTCCACATGAACCTCAAAAATCAGAGTCACAAATTATTAGGGCTGGAAGACATTTGGAATCACTGAATAAAACTCCTTATATCACAGTCATTTATCCAGGGAAGGTAAGTGACTTGTCCAGCTATTTGGCAAAAGAGACAAGTCTCACACAGATAGCCAGACCCTTAGGTCAGTCCTTTCACAGGCTGATGATGGTACATTCTTTTTAAAATCACTCACACATGTGACCATAAGACGACGACAACAACAACAACAAATGAAATAAAACCCAGGACACTAAGGGAAAACTGAAAAATGTGTATTCGGTGATGATCCAATTCCAACAAAACACATCCATACCTCACTCTTGATGTGTGGATAGACTGATCTTAGGACCATACATGCAATATTGTATCTGGTTTGAACAAACTTCTAAGCATTCCTCAGTGCCTCCCGCAAAAAACTGCCTATCATCCTTCACAGCACGCTTGATCCTGCCTGCTGAACTCTTTTCCTATCTCCACATAACGTAGGGTGAGGACACATGTGTTCTGTTTTGTGTTTCTTCATAATATGTCATTTCTTCAGAAAACAAATTTGAGTATAAGAAAACACTTTAATCTCCTTAAATTAATGAATGTAGTTTGTAGAAGAACAAATTCATTTTTTCCTTTACCCAATTTGCATAGTAATGTCTGAGCACAAGCAGCAGCTCACAGATTTATACAAGGGCACTGAAAGAAAAAGAATAGGCTTTCCAACCATTATCTTCCAAAATCCTGCCCCCACACATTACCAAACAAAAATAGACCTAGTTTATCTAGAAACTTGAAAGCATGTACTATATCTGTCTACTTTATCCATCTCCATTACTACTATCACAGTCTAAATGACATCATCTAAAATCATGATTTTTTTCCTAATTGATCTTCTTGCTTTTACTTTTATTCCTTACCATCTGTTCATCATTGAACAGTTATATTCCTTTCTTTTAAACATAAATTGAACCTGTTTTTCCTGGATAAAACCCTCCAAAGTCTTTCCAACACGCTCAGAATAAAATTCAAATTCATTAACTTAGCTGGGAAAGGAGCTTGCAGTGCTCCAAAAAGAGTTAGAGGAACTGAATATCACAAAAACTCCTTTATTCTTGGAGTCTATCTTGGATCAAATGAAGCTTCTGAGCCCAGAAAACAAACCCTATTTTGTAAGTAATATTCCATAGAACATTAAACATTTCTGCGCTTACATCCCCTTTGCTGTCCCAGGCTTTATCCAGCTACTCTTTGACCACTCTAGATTCAATCTGCTCAAAGATACGCATATAAAGATATTTTCTTTTCCTTTTCTTTTTTTTTTTTTTTTTTTTTTGAGACAGAGTCTCGCTCTTTCACCCAGACTGGAGAGCAGTTGGTGCGATTTCAGCTTACTACAACCTCCCCCTCCCAGGTTCAAGCAATTCTCCAGCCTCAGCCTCCCAAGTAACTGGGATTACAGACATGCGCCACCACACCCAGCTAATTTTCTGTATTTTCAGTGGAGACGGGTTTTCACCATGTTAGCCAGGCTGGTCTCAAACTCCTGACCTCAATTGATCCACCTGCCTCGGCCTCCTCCTGAAGTGCTGGGATTACAGGTGTGAGCCACTGCCCCGTCCTATTTTCTTACTCTTCATCTTGGAAGACGAAAAGAAACAGTTACATACTCCTGAGTCCAGCATAATAAGAGGATGGTAATATACAAGGGACTCTACCTCAGAAAAGGAGGCGGGGGGCAGGTAGTATAACTGAGACAGAATCAAGACTTTGTGTTCTAACTACCATCAATGCTTTTAATGCAAAAATGAAAAACTTAACAAAGAGGGAACCAAAGAGGGAAGCATTTCTATATGTAAGTGAACACTGAAATCACTGATGTAAGTTAGAGGCATGAGAGCAGCTGCAGTTAGAGCCAGAACAAAAGAGCGTAAGCAGAACTCTTTGTGGGTCAACTTACAGCTGAGACGAGTCAGTAGTTATTCCTTATCAGTTAAAATAAGTCTGTTTTACTTTTCTTTCTGCCATGTAACTACAGAATATGAAACCCAATATCCCCAAATAAGCCCCTGAAAATCCCATCTATAGTCCATTACACTCAAACTGGCACAATTGTCCCATAGAACTGATATTTGCTGTGTTTGAATACACATAGATATTAACTCTCCTGGTCTTAAAGTGTGAAACTTGCATTGGTCTTATCTGAGTTCCTTCCTCAGGAAACTGGCCATCAGACCTCCCAGAAGGAGAAGTATGAAGGAGCTGATACTTACCAGGTCACTACATCTGGACAATGAGATCCCAGACCCCTCACCCATCATGATTGTCTAACGAACCACCTGCCTCCTGTTGACCAGCTTCTCTTGCTTAGCCCTCCTACACTTAGCTACATTCCTTCCCCTATTGTACTTGGTCAGAGAGATGGGTTTAAGATTGATCTCTCATCTTCTCGGCTGCAGTACCTAATTAAAGCCTTCTTCCCTGGCAATACTTATCATCTCAATGATTGGCTTTCTGTGCTGCAAGCAGCAGGACCTAGACCAAACTCTGGCACTTCAGCAGCAATTCCACAGTTCCCTAGGGTCAACCCATGGAAAAGTAGGCATTCTTCTTTGAGATTAATCGTTTTTTCTACCAACTGCAGAGAAACTCTTTCCTATCCTTCTCTTATTACCTGTTCTCATGCATGAAGATAACCAATAGTTTTGGAAACTAGACATGTTCTGGCCACTTCTTCAAAGATTATGATTTGATACTTATATGGTCCCAGAATTTTTTTAAAAAAACTTCCTGTTCCATTCTGATGATCACCCTCAGATGAACCACAACCCAGCAGAACTGGAGGGACAGTGCAAGGCTGTACCCACCTTAGCCAGTAGAGCCACTTCCATGTGTTGAGATCCTACAGCCTCTGCTGCCCCCTGGTGGTAACTACTAAACTTACCACACCCCTCTCTAGTTCAATGACATCAAGAAATATCTATTGAGGACCATGTCAAAAGTATGACATAAGAAACTGTGACATAATGCCATATAATATATTTCTTCATTCATGTTTTGGAAGTCAAGAAATATAAGTCATCCTCCTTGAAACAGCTCCAAATACCTAACTAAACACTTATATATGAAACTGCCACTAAAATTTTGATTCAAAATGCAGAGAAAGCAAAAACTAATCTGTTCTAATATAGGAAATTTAAAACAACAGCTATACAGAGAACCAATAATAAATACTGATAAAGTAAAATTGATTATTTTCTTATCAGTAATAGTATTTTTTCTCTTTTCAGAACAGATACTTTTTAATTTCTTAAATTCCTGTTGTAAAGTCTGTTTTGGTGCTTCTGACCAACCAAAAGTAAATATACTAGGGTCTGAAACAGAACTAAAAAGCATGGAATCTGGGCATTCTTTTTCAGATATTTAGTAAATGTCATCAGCCATTTCTTGTTGTTCATCAAACTGGTCACAAAAAACGAATCACAGATAAATTACAAATTTTTTTTCAAGCATCCCTGAAAATTGCCTCTAAATTGTCACTCTCAAATTCTAGAATTAGAGCACTATGACATATTTTCTAGCTTATCTAATATTTCTTTTCCTTTGACTGGGAGTCCACTAAAGAATCATTTTTGTCAGTGTGTGTCTCATTTAAAGATGTGTTTACTAATAAGATCATTTTCACTTTGTGGGCAGACATCCGCTTCCAATTCAATTTCTGGAAGCCAAGCAGAATTCTGAGCAACTCACAACTATTTGGCAGTTCTCCATCTTTGTTTCTGCTGGTAGAAACAGCCTTCTTAAATGTTCAACCCTTCCAAATGAATTAATAATATATTTAATTTATGTTCATGTCTAATCTAATGTTCTCAAACTGGGATATTTTCTTGTCAAAAACTTCCCCACAGCTGTTTTGTAGTCCAAGGTGTTTACTATATTATTTTTATGTGGCTGCATATCATTATAAACATAAAAACTACATTTTAATGTATCTAAATCTGTCTTTGATGCTCATCTGTCCTTTGATGCTCATAAATTGAATGTGCACTCAGGGACATGTGGGTGTCTTTTCACTATAATAAGCTGTGGTGAAATCTAAGGAGTTCTGATGGATAACCTTGGGCTACGAGGGGGTAATTTTGAGACATGAGTATCTCTAGGATGCTGGAAAGTTCAATATATTATCTTGAAATATATATCTTGAAAGTTCTAAAAGTTTTGGGGAATTTAAAAACTGCCCTACATACTTCTTAGATCTTTAGATCTATGACTGCTAAGAATGAAAATGTACGGAATGTGTAGAACATATAGAGACACCAAGAATAAATTACTTAGAATTAGAAGCCAGTGAATGAATGAACTGGCACTGACACAGACAAAAAGCGGCTGAGTTTCTGACTGTTTTGAGGTCAGTGCAAGTTTAGGATCAAATTCACCCAGGCACCAAATGGATTAACTGCTATTTTTATTTTCTGGATCTCAGTGTATTTTTAGGACTGAATTTTTCCTTCCTGAATGAATGACCTGCTAGCTCTTTCTGCCTAGAATGCTCTACCCTTTCACGGTCACACCTGACCCAACTATGAGTTCCTGTTCTGCCACCCACCTGATCAATCCCTAATTATTTCTGAAACAGCTGGGACACACCTCCTCTGTGATTTGTTCCTTAAGCTGAGCCTGTCAGTGATTGAATTTTGTATAATTTGATCTTTCTGGACTAGAAAATGGTAGCTGTTCACTTTTCGATCATTCCAATTAGTCTAATGAGTAACTTGGTGGCACAGACTTTAATTTTTAAATCCTCAGCACCAGAAATTGTGCCTGACACATAAAGAGTGCTAAGAAATGATTGGTTGCATGAATATAGATAGCACACCATAAAGGCAAAGTCAATTTCCTCTGCACATAAAATTAAAGATTATTTCTACAAACTTTGAGCATTGTTGCAATAAGAAAATATGCCTCTTATTTGCTTTTACAAGTTTAATTCCGGGAGCAATTTTGTTTATGCAAATATTTGCCTCTATTGTCAAATTCCAGCTAAAACAATTTTTGTTATCTACGGTTGTTGCACAAAACTTCCAACTTCCAGTAGCAAAGTTAATTAAATAGAGTATTTTTTAAAAATTTGTAACAGGTTTAGCCTCGATCAATAGGTTTTGACCTATTGTTTTTACTAAACTTAATTCCCAGAACGTATCTCCTTAAGTGCAATGCTTTATATATGGTAAATGTTCAAACTTTTATTACGTATTTAAGTTTAAAGTAATAGGAAAGAATAACTTGAGTAAATTAGTTCCTTGCTACTTTACAGCAATTTTTGCCTCACTCCACTGATTCTCTATTAGATAAACTTCTTCACTACAAAATCTTATATACTTTTGATTGATGCCCATTCTGTAATGTTATCTACCCTCCAAGGTCCCTGGGAGACAGAGTATTGGAATCTAACATTCAAGTCGTGCTTGTCTGCCTAGAGGCTTGCATTCATCAAAGGAAGTAAGGACATAAAGTACATTAAAATAAACTCTACTACAGCACAAATTTCTATATCATACTATTCTACACATGATCTTGATTCTAATCTTCCTTTTTCTGGAAATTCAGAACACCTAAGCTAATGAAAAAATGAAAATTATAACACCAGGAGGGAAAGGGGCTCATAGGATATTTGTCAAAGGGCCATGCAGCTTTTATGATTAGAAAAGCATTTACCTCTGTAACAGTGAAGATTACATGAGACCACCATTTCATCTGTCAGTCAAACTCAGATTGGCTCTGTTTCAAACTTCTGTAGCTAACTCAAAATGGAATGGCCACTGTTCCCAAGCACCACCTGCCATAACTTGGTATTTTTCTGTGCTTAGTGAATCACATTTATTCTCCTGGATTTGGGAGAGTTGGGATAGAAAAACACAGGGACTAAGATTCCCCTGCACTGAGTTACATTAAAGAAAGTCCACCTATCACTGTGTTACTGCTGACGGTTCCTCTGGCTTTATCTATATTCCTGCTTCAAATTATTTTTAGCAAAAATTTAAATGATATTCAGAGGGTTGTTGGTAAAAGAAGATTAATATTGAATTGAAGTACATATTAGTGAGAATGGTTATGATGATGATGATGATGGATTCATGCTGCAATCCTGATTTGATTTGCTATAATTAGGCTACAATTTGGTCTATAGAGGACTAAAATCCTATTTGAAGCATAAGTGCATCCCAAATGTGGTTTATGGTTAAAAAACCTGACCATGTAGATAGCCAATTCCCACCCACTTATTGGGGTTACTTATTTGTTTTTGTTTGGCTTTATTTTTCTGTTTTGCTCCTTTCTCTCATTTTTGAAATTATTTCTCAGAGTCAGTACCAATTTCTTTGGTTTCTATTTACTAGGTAGTACTCATATATTTAAATATATTTACATACATTGTTATACATCTATATATATGAAAGAGAGAGATATCTATACAACTGCGAAGCAACTTCTGAACTAATTTAAGAACTAGAACATCACTAATTCTGTGTATACTACCTGACCCAAAGAAAATCAGCTTCCAAATACAGGCCTTTAATTTTGCAGTTTTTAAAAATGGTTTTACCATATGTATATAAACCTCTAAACTATATATTTCTATTGATTGAAATCTTTAGGAAATGATATTAAGCTTTACATTATCAAAGTAAAATTGCACCAGACAAGGTAACCAGGCAAAGATGACTTTTTTCAAGATGACCACAATAGGTTCACAAATACCGCAATATGGAATATAGAGTGAACTATGTTGAAACAAAAGGCAGGAGAGATTTTCAACACTGGGTCAAGTTGGTGCAAAGGTTCTGAAGGACATAAGCCTGGAGGTCACTAAATACAGTTAGGCCATCTATTTTTGCTAATTGGCATGAATTAAGGGAGAGTAGAAGTTAGGCTCCCACCCCTCCTCCCCCAGAGACTGAGAGATAACGGCCCTATCTTTTTTGATGATTACATTTCATAGAATAACTCCCAAATCCATGTGAAACACATTGCTATGTTGTAAAACTGGCAAGAGGCTGGGAGATTCACATCTTAAAGGGGCAGAGAAAGAATTTACAATTTCAAGTTTTCTAAAATAAACTCACTAAGAAAAGGGAGATCAGGGGCTTAGGTCGGGAAGAAACCTTTCTGAAGTTTAGTCAAACTGAAAGGAAATAGGCCATCTTGGTCAAAATATACTTCTAAATCCTTGTTTTCTCAGCGTTACATTTCAAAGAGATTTACCCAATGAGTATGAGGAACTGTAGGTCACTCAGATTCACCCCAGTATAATATTGCCTCACTTTAATAGACCACATTTTAATGCCCATTTTACTATAGGTGAATACTTGGATTTTTTTCTTTACTTTTTATTATACTTTAAGTTCTGGGGTACATGTGCAGAATGTGCAGGTTTTTTACCTAGGTATACAGGTGCCATGGTGGTTTGCTGCACCCATCAACCTGTCATCTTTTTCTTTTCTTTTTTCTTCTGTTCTTTTTCTTTTGACTCTACGAACAGGGTAAGTGTATTCATTTGCTAGGGCCACCAAAATAAAATGCTACAGACTGGTTGGCTTAAACGACAGAAATTTATTTTCCCATATTTTTTGGAGTCTGGAAGTCCAAGATCAAAATGTTGACAGATTGGGTTTCTCCTGAGCCCTATCTTCGCTGGCAGGCGGATGCCTTCTCAGTGTCTTCACATGGCCTTTCTCCATGTGTGAACAACTCTGGTGTCTCCCCGTGTCCTCATCCTCTCTTCTTAAACGGACACTGGTCAGATTGGCTAGGGCATTCCCCAATGAATCCATTTTAAATGAATTTCCTTTGGAAATCCTTACCTCCAAACATAGTCACATTCTGAGGTAGTCAGAGTTAGGGCTTCAAAATGTGAACTGTGGGGAGAGAGTTTAGTCCACAGCAGTATTTCTGTGCTCATGTTCAACATATTTTTGATGTTTTGCATGTTTTTACACATTCCTTCTAGTACACATAGAAATATTTCCTTGGGATGTCTACTTAGAACAAATATTTAGATTGTCCGGTACTCTTGCTTTTCATCAGCACTTAATATTGTCAGCATTTCCACTATTTCCCAATCAATACAAATTCTTTATATATTCTGGGAATTAATATAATTAATCAGTGATGTGTGCTACAGATGTCTTCTCCCAGTTTTGTTGCATATGTTCCACTTCCGTGATGTCTTAATGAAAAGGTGTTGTTTTTAATACAATACAATTTATCAGTATTTTCCTTTATGCCGTTTCTTTCTGTTTCATTCCTGTTGGAGTCCTAGTTAAGAAAATTATTTCCTACTTCAGTCATAAAAATTCACCCAAATATCTTCTTCAGATATTTTAAAGTTTTGCCCCTAATATTCCAGTCTTTAATCCACCTGGAATTTATTTTAGTATATGGTACGCGGCAGGAATCCAATTTTGTTTTTTTCCCATAGAGATAAACAAATATTCTGGCCCCATTTATTTTCTAGTCTACTCTTCCCTAAGTAGTTGCAATGCTATGTGTTATATATAATTTCTGTATATTCATGGGCTGCTCCTGGCCTATTAGGGACAATTGAATAGCATGTCTCTTGCAATATTTACTATAAAATACTATTACAGATGTACCCTGTTAGCAAAAAATACGGTAGACAAATCAATCTTAGATGCATGGAGTGGGAGTTCACAGTCTGTGCAAATGGAAAAGACATGGGTCTAACCACTTGGAAAATTGTTTGAGATTATCTTATAAGATTGAATATACTCCCTCTCTCTGACCCAGCAGTCCCATTCTGTTTTGTGTGCTCAGGATCAGAAGTTCCAGTGTGGTCCCCAGGAGTGTCAGCATCAATGTCACCTTGATGTTCAGCATTAATTGAATAGCATGTCTCTAGCTAATACTGTGGCTTTATAATGAGTCTTGGAATATGCAAGGGGATATTCCCACATTATTTTTCTTCTTTAGGAAACTCCTGTTTTTCAGCTTTTGCTATGCCAAATAAATTTTAGAATCTGTTTTTCAAGATGCAAAAATAAAATCTGTTGGGATTTTGATTGAAATTTCCCTGAACCAATAGAATCAATCTGTGGAGAATAAACAGTTTTATGATATGGGGGTTTTCTGTATGAGAAAATTGAATATTTCTCCATCTATTCAGCTTGCATAGGTAGTAAATAAAATTTTTGCATCATATATGTGTATATATGTATATGTATATATGTATATGTGTATATGTGTATATGTACATATATACACATATACGTATATGTGTATATGTACATATATACACATATATGTATATGTGTATATGTACATATATACACATATATGTATATGTGTATATGTACATATATACACATATATGTATATGTGTATATGTACATATATACACATATATGTATATGTGTACACACATATAAACATGTATATATACATATATACACGTGTATATATACATATATACGCATGTGTATATATACATGTATACGCATGTGTATATATACATGTGTGTATATGTGTATATATACATATATGTATGTGTATATGTGTATATATGTATGTGTATATGTGTGTATATATGCATGTATATATGTGCATATGTGTATATACACGCACATATGTGCATATGTGTATATACACATACATATGTGCATGTGTATATACACATACATATGTGCGTGCGTATACACATACATATGTGCATATGTGTATATACACATACATATGTGCATATGTGTATATACACATACATATGTGCATATGTGTATATACACATACATATGTGCATATGTGTATATACACATACATATGTGCATATGTGTATATACACATACATATGTGCATATGTGTATATACACATACATATGTGCATGTGTATATACACATACATATGTGCATGTGTATATACACATACATATGTGCATGTGTATATACACATACATATGTGCATATATACATACGTTATATATACATATGTGCATGTATGTGTATATATACACATATGTGTATATATGTATGTGTATATATACACATATGAACATATATGTATATGTATATATGAACATATATGTTCGTATATATATGAACATATATGTATATGTATATATGAACATATATATGTATATGTATATATGTATATATGAACATATATATGTTCGTATATATGAACATATATATGAACATATATATGAACATATATATGTTCATATATATGAACAACAAAGGCTTCTTTTACATTTAAAAAATTATTTAAAAAATTATTCTTGGTTACTCTATATTTCTATGTTAATATAGCTACACACATTTTTATTTTATATTTTCCTTTTGTTTTCATACATATCTTCTAACCATTAATTTTCAACTTTCTACATCTCGTTTTATATAATTGAAATAGATATATTTTATTCAAATTGGCATTTTTAACTGGCAAGTTTATTCTTCTTTAACTTAATGTGATTACTAATATATCAGAACTGATTACCATTTTCACTGTGCTTTGGAACTGTTCCATTTTTTATGCTTCTTCCATTTTCTTTATCTTTTCAATTAATTATATTTTAGTTTGTTCACCTCTGTTTTTCTTTCCTTTTTCTAAGCAATTCATAAGGTACATAACATATTCTAATTTTATAACTGGCTACTATTAAAATGCTGCCATGGGCACAAAACTGTAAATCAGTTTCTTTATCCTCTCACTGAATAATTAAAAGACTTTGACTAATTTAGCTCTGATAATGTTTCTGCCAATGATAATTTTAGCCTTAATTTTGCTTTTCTTTTAAAAATGAACACATCATTATTATTATGTTATGAAGACAGTGATTGGCTCTAATTATATGTATACATGTTTGTGTGATGTCCTCTCACATTGAATAGTGACTGACCAGTGTGGTCAACAGAACGTAGTATAAGCCATAGTGTGTGACTGCCAAGAATAGGTTATAACAACATTCTAACTTCTATCTTGGTGCTACTTGGATTACTGGTTCTGGAAAAGTCTGGCCACCACACTGTGAAAACATCCAAGCACTGTTAGGGAAAGTTAGTCCCAACACCAATTTCCAGCTGTGTGAGTGAGTCACCTAGAAAGTGGATCCTCTGGCCACATGTACACCTTTACCTGCCTGCAACCCCAGCTCGCATATGACTGCAACCTCATGAAAGACCCCAAGCCACAACCATCTGCCCAAGCCACTTCCAGATTCCTGCTGCAAAGAAACTGAGATAAGCAGTGGTTATTGTTGTTTTAATACCACTTTTTGAGCCAATTTATTACTCAGCATTAAATAGCTAATGCAACATATTTACCAGTTTCTTTTCTCACAATTCTTTTTTGCATCTTACCTGGCGGGTTATTTTTCTTCTTCTTGAAGAAAAACTTTTAACATGCCTTTAGTGAAGTTAGTGCTAAATGAATTTAGATTTTCTTTATATGAAAATATATTTCTTTCAACTCAGTTATGTTCTGTGAGTACTTTGAAAGATTTATTCTCCTATTATTTGACTTCCAAGTATTTAAGAAGGCTGCTGGAAGTTCAAGTGTGGTTCTTCGTAGGTTTCTTCCTCTCTGGCTACCTTTTCCCGAGGTTTTCTATAGACTTACTAAGGTGGTAGTTTTTCAACTACTCTGCTTTGAATAGTTGATGTGGTGTACTCTGTGTCTTTGAATCCGGCCAATGCCTTTTTGAACATTTCACCTCTTTCATTTTATGTATTCTTCTGAGACCATCATAAGATATATCATTAAACTGTCCCATTCAATCTTTCATGTCCAGGATCATCACTTTACTACTTTCCTCTTTCTGTTTTCCTATGTTGCAGCCGAAGTAATTTCTTTACATCTGTCTTCCAGTTTTCTCATTCTTTCTTCAGTTATATTTTATGTGATGTTTAATCACTCCATTAAGGTTTTCTTTCAATTACTGGTGTTTCTTTATAAAAGTTCTACTACATTTGCTTCGCATATGCTGGTCATTTTGGTTTCAGATATTAAGGTGAGGTACTTGCTCTCCATTTTTTATTTTTATAAAAAGCAAATTCATCATTTCCTGCTTTAGTGTTTGCTATAAGTCACTGACTAGAGATGTCTGGAATAGCCAATAATTTTCCTTTAGGAAACATGTAAATATATATATATATTTAATAAGCATAAAACTACAAAGATTTCTTTTTCATGCAAATTTCGCTAAGTTGTATCATTCTATATGTTTATTTTATTAGATACATTGGATTATAATTTTACCAACTTACTGTGCTTTACTATTTGTTTCCTTTTTAATTCCTGATATTATTTATGTCTTGTTTTTATCGTGTGACCAAAGAGTTAACAATTTTGCTAGTCTTTTTATATTTCTTCATTTATGTCCCTATAATATTTCTTTTCTTCTATTTTCATTGAGTGTAATTTACTATTTTCTTATAATTATTGAGATGGACGCTCAGATGATTAATTGTCAGCCTTTTTTATTACTAGTCTATGTACTTTTTAGGCTTTTCAGTTCAGGGATACATGTGCAGTCTATGCACTTTTAAGGGTGCACTTTTCCATATAAGCATATTTTAATAGCAGCATGCAACTTTTGAAAGTAGCATATTATTTTTCATTCAACTAAAAATATTTTCTAATTCTCATTGTGATTTCCTCTATGACCATGAGGAACTTAGAAGTATACTTCTTGGCTCTCGATATATAGCTATTTTTAAACGGATTTTTTTCTCAGATTTGTAAATTAATTATACCTTGATTAGAAATTACAGTCTGTGTCATCTCATTTATTTGAAATTTTTGAGACATGATTTGTGTGGCAGCATATGATCAGTTTGACTGCCCCATTTGTCATCTTAAAAATGTATCTATAGTTATTGAGCAGAGAAGTATGTTTTAGGGGGGTTAAGTCTGTAATGAGTACTTAAAATTGTTATTTTTTACTGTTTTTCTCCACTTGTTTTATTAGTTTTTTCTGGTGCCCATGCTGGAGTACAGTGGCACTATCTCAGCTCACTGCAACCTCCACCTCCCAGGTTCAAGTGATTCTCCTGCCTCAGCCTCCTGAGTAGCTGGGATTACAGGCACCGCCACAAAGCCCAGCTAATTTGTGTATTTTTAGTAGAGACAGGGTTTCACCATGTTGGCCAGGCTGATCTCAAACTCCTGACCTCAGGTGATCCAACCTCCTCGGCCTCCCAAAGTGCTGGGATTACAGGCTTGAGCCACGGTGCCCAGCATGTTCTATTAATTATTGAAAGACATGTTTAAAATTGTCCATTTTCATTTTAAATATGTCTATTTCTCATTTTAGTTCTGTCAATGTTTGTTTTGCGTATTTTGAGATCATATTATTAGGTTCATACAATTTATTATTATATCTTCCTGAATGTCTTAGTCTTTTTGTGCTGCTATAACAAAATACCTGAGACTGGGTAATTTATATATAACATACATTTATTTATCACAGTTGTAGAGACGGAAAGTCCAATATCAAGGCACTGGCAGGTTCAATACTGGGGAAGTCCTGGTCTCTGCTGCTAAGATGGTGCCTTGTTGCTGTGTCCCCAAGAAGGGATGAATGTTGTATTCTCACATTACAGATGAGATAGAAGGGGGAACCTAAGCTAGCTCCCTCCAGCCGTTTCCTAAGGCACTCATCTATTCATGAGGACTCTTCCCTGATGACTTAACCACTTCTGAAAAGGTCCACCTCTTAATACCACCGAAACAGGGATTAAATTTCAACACATAAACTTTGAGGAGCACTCAGACCACAGCACAGGTGAATTTTTAGCATTGTGAGTAGCTTTCTTACCTTTAGTAATGCTTTCTGACAGCTATTCCAGATTTTTCTGGGTTACTATTATATGCTATCCCTTTTTTCACTTTTTGGATCTATGTTTCACCTGGGTCTTGGCCTGGGAATTCTTAGCTGCCTCTTTTGTTCACTTATTCCTATAATCTGGTGCACACACACACACAAACACACACTATCTCACACATAGCACACACACATCTACACATCTACCACATGCATGCACACCATATACCACACATACATACACACACCCCACGCATACACACCCACATACACACACGCATCTCCAGCTTTGCTTGTCTTCTCTAGCATAGTTGATCCATATAACCTAGAAATGATCAAAAACAAAGCTATTGATTATAGTCCCTTTTCCTTTTTCTCTGATGAGTTTTGTACATGTTTTACTTCTTAAACATTGCATACATACAAAATACTTCATTTTATTGCACTTGGCTTTATTGTGTTTCACAGATGTTCCTTTTATTTTAAACAAATTAAAGGCTTTTGGCAACCCTGCATTGAGCGAATCTATTAGCACCATTTTTCCAACAGCATATGGTCACTTCATGTTTCTGTGTCACATTTTGGTTATTCTCAAGGTATTTCAAACTTTTTCATTATTATTATTATATATGTTATGGTAATCTGTGATCAGTAATCTTTGATGTTACTATTGTAATTATTTTGAGACACCACAGACTATGCTCATATAAAATGGAAATCTTAATCGATAAATATTGTGTTCTGACTGCTTCACCAACCAGCTATTACCCACCATATCTCTCCCTCTCCTCAAGCCTCCTTATTCCCTGAGACACAATAATATTGAAATTAGGCCAATTAGTAAATTAGTAATTCTACAATAGCCTCTTAAGCGAAAGGCAGAGTTGCACATCTCCTGCTTTAAATTGAAAGCTAGAAATAATTTAAGTTTCGTGAGAAAGGGATGTTGAAAGCCGAAATAGGCTGAAAGCTAGGCCCCTTGCAGGAAACAGTTAACCAAGTGATGAATGAAAAGGAAAAGTTCTTAAAGAAAATTAAAAGTGCTACTCCAGTGAACACACAAATGATAAGAAAGTGGAACAACCTTATTGCTGATATGGAGAACATTTGAGTGACCTTGATAGAAGATTAAACCAGCCACAACATTCCCTTAAATCAAAGCCTAATCCAGAGCAACGCCCTAACTGTCTTCAATTCTGTGAGGCTGAAAGAGGTGAGGAAGATGCAGATAAAAAGTGTGAAGCTAGGAGAGGTTGGTTCATATGATTTAAAACAAGAAGCCATCTCCATAACTTAAAAGTGCAAGGTAAAACAGCAAGTGCTGATAAAGAAGCTGCAGCAAATTTTCGAGAAGATCCAGCTAAGATAATTGATGAAGGCGGCTACACTAAACAACAAACTTTCGATGTAGATAAAACAGCCTTCTATTGGAAGAAGATGCCCATCTAGGACTTGAATGGCTAGAGAGAAGTTGATGCCTTGCTTCAAAGCTTCAAAGGATAGACTGACTCTTGTTAGGGGCTAATGTTGTTGGTGACTTTAAGTTGAAGTTAATGCTCATTTACCATTTGAAAAATCCTAGGGCCCTTAAGATTTATGCTCAGTTGAATCTGCCAATGCTCTTTCTATGGAACAACAGGGCCTGGATGATAGCACATCTGTGTACAGCAGGGTTTCCTGAGTATTTAAAACCCACTATTGAGACCTACTGCTTAGAAAAAAATATTCCTTTCAAAATATGAGTGTTCATTGAAAATGCACCTGGTCACCCAAGAGCTCTGATCAAGATGTACAAGAAGATTAATGTTGTTTTCATGCCGGCTAACACGTCCATTTTGCAGTCCATGGATCAAGGAGTCATTTTGTCTTTCAAGTCTTATTATTTGAGAAATACATTTTGTAAGGCTATAGCTGCCATAGATGATGATCTCTACAATGGACCTGGGCAAAGTAAATGGAAAGCTTTCTGGAAAGGATTCACCATTATATTTGTCATTAAGAACATTCATGATTCAAGAGAGGAGGTCAAAATGTCAACATTAGCAGGAGTTTGGAAGTTGATTCCAAACCTCACGGATGACTTGGAGGGGTTCAAAACTTTCGTGGAGGAAGTAATGGCAGATGTGGTGGAAACAGCAAGAGAACTAGAATTAGAACTGGAACATCAAGTTGTGACTGAATTGCTGCAGTCTCATAAAACTTGACAGGATGAGGAGTTGCTGCTAATGGATGAGCAAAACAAGTAGTTTCTTGACATGGAATCTATTCCTGGTGAAGATGCTATGAACATTGCTGAGACGAGAACAAAGAAATTAGAATATTACATTTACTTGATAAAGCAGGGTGTGAGAGGATTGACTCCAATTTTGAAAAAAGTTCTACTGCGAAAAAATGCTATCACTCATTCACCACATGCTACAGTCAGACCTTTCATGAAAGGAGGAGTCAATCAATGTGGCAACCTTTATTGTTGTCTTATTTTCAGAAATTGCCACAGCTACCCCAGCCTTCAGCAACCACCACCCTGACTGGTCAGTAGCCATCAACATAGAGGGAAGACCCTCCAACAGCAAAAAGATTGCTACTTACTGAAGGCTCAGGTGATCATTAGCATATTTTAGCAACGAAGTATTTTTTAATTACAGTATGTGAATTGTTCATTTACTTAGGTGTGAAATAATGCTATTGCATACCCAAGAGACTACAGTCTAGTGTAACATAACTTTTACATGTGCCAGGAAAACAAAAAATTTGTGTGACTCACTTTATTACAATATTTACTTTATTGAGGTACTCTGGAACCAAACCTGCAATATCTCAGATGCAGGCCTATAGTTACTTTATACTTTTATGTAATAATATCTAAATCTGAAGTACTGTGTTTCTAAATTATTTTTGTTGTCATTGACTCTCATATATTGTAATTTTTTCTTGAATTTTACAGAGTTTTTTTGTCTATATTCAACATTTATTAGAATTTACTCCGTGGATTCCTTAAAGACTAAAATCAGAATGCTTCCCTCCTAAAGGAATTAATACATTTATTTCTCCTCAAAGTAACCTGGGTCCCCTTTGAGGATTCTAGTTTATACTAGGAATTCAGAATTACCTTCACTCCCTGACATTGATTCTAATATCTAGGTTCCTGTTCTCTTTATTGGTTTGGGCATTTGATTCCACAGTACGTCTAGCTTTTACATGCGTTTGTCTCACTATTCTGTGTTCTAGTTTTTAATTTCCTCAAGTGCCCAGGAATATATATATTGAACATAGCATGCATTTTATTTATGCATGATTGAGTTGTATTGAAAAGGTGGTTTATTCAGAATCAGTCATCTGCCATACCACTTACAGCTTCCCTGCTCCACTTTCATTTCTCCATCCCGGGATTTTACTCTCTCTTTAACAGCAGATAGATCCATATTTCTAGGGAAATCCTTGTTAAAAGGTAACCAACTTCTCCCTTATTCCAAAAAGTCCCCAGTATTTTTCACTTACTAACTTACAATGGAAATACATCCCAATAAACCCATTGCATATTGAAAATATCATAAGTTGAAAACGCATTTAATACATCTAACCTACTGAACACCATAGCTTAGTCCAGCCTTCCTTAAACATCCTCACAACACTTACGTTATTTCCCACAGTTGGGCCACATCATCTAACACAAAGTCTATTTTATAATAAAGTTTTCCTATCTCATGTAATTTATTGAATTTGGTACACTACATCGTACAGTCTCTGTTGCTCCTCCTTGTGCTCACAGGGCTGACTGGGGGCTGCAGCTCACTGCTGCTGCCCAGCATCATGAGAGAGTATCGTATCACATTTTCCTAGCAGGAAAAAGACCAAAAATCAAAATTCAAAGTATTGCTTCTGCTGAATGGATATTGCTTTTGCACCATTGTAACACTGAAAATTATACATTAAACCATTGTAAGTTGAGAACCGTCTGTACTCAAAAGCCCACTTGTGCTATTTCAGGCAAAGACCTCTGCTTCCTCCCATTCCCACCAAACATACTACCCATTGACGATTCCCCTGAGCATGCGTGAGACTGAAGGCCTGGGAGGATCACCATTACAGTGTGGTGAAGACTTTCCATTGGAAAAGGCATAGCAAATGGCAGACAGATCAGGGAAGCTGAAGAATAAGTTCAATACGGAATCTATTGTATAGTATTAGGTTCCCACTAAAGGAGGATGAATTGTTCAAAAAAGTGAGTGAATTGGAAAGATTTTAGATTTATCTTCAAAGGAAAAATACCATGACTATCTGCTTTGAAATCTGTATGAATACTAGAAGCATGATTTGAGCTAATATATTCCAGGTTCCAAATTCTTCCAGTGAAGGGAGGCTACTTTACACATTTTATTTCCTTAATATATAGAATGGAGCCTTGGCTTTTTGGTGAAAAGCCCTGGGCAGTTTTTTTTTTTTTTTTTTTTTTTAAGCTAGTTAAGATGCTTTTTGCAAAAGAGGTCTCTTCATTAGTAACCAGCATCACTGCCATGCTTATTTATATCTGCCTTCTGAGTGGCTGGAACAGAATTCCAACCTAATACCATTTCTGCTTTCAAAGGACTTTATCTTCTAGACCTCATTTAGCATGAGGATAGAGAAACACAGATAAATGTCTTATCAGGCAAAAAAGTAATTTCATGTTCTTGCAGTTCTTTTCTCTGTCTATTCAAATGCAAGATGCCCTTTCATCTTCTACAAATGATTTTCTCTTAATCCGCAAAAAACTAGTTCATTCTTTCTAACAACATCATTGTATTTTGAGTGAATTATCATGGAACAATTAAGAGCTGTTCTCATGTGACACACTTATCCTAGGCTGTTTGTTTCAAAATTTGATTCAGCTGTGCCCTCCACTATTTCCTCATTTTGTTGAATGCCTTTGTCAGCTTGGAGGAAAGAAAATAACACAGTAGGGGACAGGGCAAGAGTCACTGTATTATAAGACATTATTGCCTCTGGAAACAATGTTCTCCATTGTAGTTCAATGAGCTAATAAGCAATGCATTATTTTGTTAAAAGGCAGTTGTTACTATCATCACATCAAAACATCTTATAACAGTAACTAAGCTATTGCTCTGACACTTTTGTATATAAAGAAAAAATTTGTTCAAAAAATCATATTTTGTCATGGGTTCCATTTTCATGCTTCCCTTTAGAAATTTTGTGTCTTATTACACTACACATGACAGAGTGATGACTTTTGAATCCTGAGATTGAAACTCTATTAAATACAAATGGTATTACTTTAGAGAATATAAATTCATTTCTCTAATTTGCAACTTCTGCATCTGCAGAAGAGAGATTTTTGAAGTTTATTTTGACTAAAAGTAACGTAGCTAGCTCAAGGCTTCACAGAAGAGGACAGCCTGAAAGAGGGAAACATTATTACAACTATTAAACAATCTTAACCTAGTCTTATTTATTTTTTTGCCGCATAATTCCATTAAGCCATGACAGTAAATAAATAAGTCAGAGAGCAGGAGATAAAATACACCTCTGGTTTATGCTGGATGCTTGCTGTTTTATAAATCCACTTATTATCAGAGGAACAAAACTTCTCATTTGATCTTTTCTTAAGAGAATCCTTGAGCAGCATAGCTGTATATAGACCATTTTCTAATATGCATTGAGAAAATTCTTTGCCCACTGAAATGGTTTGGCTGTGTCCCCACCCAAATCTCATGTTGAATTGTAGCTCCCACAATTCCCACGTGTCATGGGAGGGACCTGGTGGGAGGTAATTAAATCATGGGGGTGGGTCTTTCCCATGCTGCTCTCATGACAGTGAATAAGTCTCATGAGATCTGATGGTTTTATAAAGGAGAATTCCTCTGTACAAGCTCTCTCTTGCTTGCCATCATGTAAGACATCCCTTGCTCTTTCACCATGATTGTGAGGCCTCTCCAGCCATATGGAACTGTAAGTCAATTAAACCTCTTTCCTTCATAAATGACCCAGTCTCAGGTATGTCTTTATTAGCAGCATGAAAACAGACTAATACACTCACTCAGACATTTTCTGATGCTTATAACAGGGCAGCATGAAGCATTGCCAATATCTCTTCCTGACACTTTTTACCGCATGCAATGGAGGTAACACTAAAGGACAGATGTGATGTCAGCTATCCAAGTGCAGAGAAAAAAGTTATATCTTTACATTATTAAGCAGATCCCTAATCTGGCTTTGTTATCACTGCTAAGTAACAGGGCACAGAAGCTCACCGTACTAAAATATAGTTAGAGCAAATTCTGTATGTTAATTCATTACCACATCTTTAGTAAGTGCCTGCCATGTGTCAGAAACTAAATTAACCACTGAAAACACCAAGTAAGACATGGTCCCTATGCTTAAGTACTCAGTGCTTATTCAAGGAGACATACGTGTTAAGAAATAATTATACTTCCAGTTTGGATAAGAGGGTATAGATTCTTTTCTCCCAGCTCCTCCCAACTAAGCACAATTATAAACCCTGGAAATATAAGAAGCAACTGAAGGAGAACTCTGAGAGGTGGAAAGTGGAAGACGAACTGGTTAGTGATTCCAAGACAGCTAGGAAAATAGAGTATCCAATGGTCTTACAACCTTCTACCCAACAGAAAAAGGCTATCCAGTCCTAGCATGCCAAATTCGCAGTCTAGCAATGGAAGGCAACCTAAATAGGCTCATTCCTCCCCTGAATCAAATAGGAGTCCTCTCAGCAATGCGAGGTAAGCAAGGCAACATATACAGGGGGGTGATCAAGCCTTGTGCTGAAAATATGCAACCGAGGAATATGTGCTCCTTCTGCATCAGGCCTGAGACTCTCCTTCCCCACATGGAGCCAATGAGCAGTCAGGCAGCACCCTCAAAGGGGATCCAGCCACAATAAGAATTGACTTCAGAAGCACTCTTTATCCCCTGGAAGAGGGAGAGACTCCCTTCCCCACCTAGAGGCAGGCAACTCAGTTGTGGGAGATTCCTTCCTCCTCTCAGTAGCACTAGCAAGGTCCAGTGAGAGCCCTAATGACACCAAATAAACCAAACAGATAAAAATAGCAGTGTAAAGGCTCTAATGGTTAAATTGTTTACAAACTAACGACAACAACAAAAAAAGAAAATAACAAGTGTTGATGACAATGTGGAGAAATTGGAGCCCCTATATATTGCTAGTGGAAATGCAAAATGGCATAGCCACTGTGTCGTCCAGTTTAGTGGTTCTTCAAAAATTAAATACAAAACTGCCACCTGGCCAAGCACTTCCACTCCTAGGCATATATCCCAAAGAAGCAAAGAAAGGTGTTCAAACAAAACCTTGTACACAAATATTCATAGCAGCACTGTGGAAATACCCATATATCCATCAACTGATGAATGGCTAAACAAAGTCTGGCATAGCCACACAATGGAAAATTATTCAGTTATAAAGGGGGATAAAGTTCTCATACACGCTATAACATAGATGGACCTTGAAAACATGCTAAGTGAAAGAAGCTAGTAACAGAAGATCATACGTTCTGTGATTCCATTATGTAAAATGTTGAACAGGAAAATCTGTAGACATAGAAGTAAATGAATGGTTACTTAGGGCTGGGTGATGGGGAGACGGGGAGGTGATTCTCAAAGAGAACAGGGATTCTCTTTGTATGATGGAAGTGCTCTAATATTGACTGTGGTGATGGTTGCATGTATCAGTGACTATACTGAAAACTATTGAGGTGCACGATTTTTAAAAAATTAAATTGTTGCTAGAACCACAGCCCACAAAATAAGCCTAGAGCTGTGGGCTAAACCTAAGCAAGTAACTTCTTATTAAAATAAAAGATTTAAATAGGATCTAGAGTCTCCTAACACAATTTTCAGAACGTCTATGATACAATTAAAAGTAACCCACCATGCCAAGAAAAGACAATCAACTAATGCCAGAGCCAAGATGAATCAGACACTAGAATTATCTGACAAGGATTTAAAAGCTGCTTTCATATAAAGGCTTTAACAAGCAATTGAAAATTATCTTGAAATCAATGAAAATATAGAAAATCTTAGCAAAGAAAACCAATCTCTGACAAAAAATATTTAAGAATTTAAGATTTGTCCGGGCGCAGTGGCTCAAGCCTGTAATCCCAGCACTTCGGGAGGCCAAGGCGGGTGGTTCAGAAGGTCAGGAGTTTGAGACCAGCCTGGCCAATATGGTGAAACCATGTCTCTACTAAAAATACAAAAATTAGCCAGGCATGGTGGCAGGTGCCTATAGTCCCAGCTACTTTGGAGGCTGAGGCAGGAGAATCACTTGAACCCGAGAGATGGAGGTTACAGTGAGCCGAGATTGCACCATTGCACTACATCTAGCCTAGGCGACAGAGCAAGACTCCATCTCAAAAAAATATATATATATATATTTATTTATTATATATTATATATATTTATATATTATATATTTATATGTATTATATATACTTATATATTATATATGCATTATATATTTATATGTATTATATATATTTATTGTATTATATATATTTATATGTATTATATATATATGAATTGAGTTTTACTTTGGGAAGTGAAGTAGAAAGGAGTAAAGGGAGATTCTCACTTTCACACTTTCACCCTATAACCTTTTGAATTCTTTGAATTGTTTTCACTGAGCATGGTCTATTTTTTTTAATAAAATTTAAATTCAAACCCCATAAAATTACCTAAATTTCATTTTGAAAAGTGAAGCTAGTACTAAGATCTCTCCCTTTTCTGGTAAGTAGCTGAGATACCTACCTGTTCATGGTTTTACATTGGAGTCACAAAAAATGAATTAGTAGCTTTCCTCATAAACAAGTCTATGAGGAACAATTTAAAAAAAAAAAAAAGAAAAAAATACAGTACATATATTTCTAGAAACAAGTAAAGTCTCCTATTAAATTGGCCGAGTTGAATTCTGAGAGTGCCAATGTACTGTGCTAAATTACTGTGTTCAGTGTTTGGAGAAATACAGAGTTAAATATTTTTATATTCTTGTCTTTAAATATTGAGTTTTTGTCTTTGACTACATATTTGTTGTTTTAACTTCATTATAAACGCTGAATATTATAAGTTGAAATTCCTTATGTCCTTTGTATCCTATTGTCACTTAAACAAGCAAAAGTGTGTGGCTATGAATAAATTTTTCTAAGTTACCACCACATACAAAGCTCTATGTTTAAGTATTAATATTATTGAAAAATTCACCTTTGAGACATCATCATGTCTTAAAATATTACCACCACCTGGGGGAAATTGCCTATTTAATTGTGTGGAATTCAACATTGAAAACATGGCTAAAAATGATCAGTATTAAACATGGTTCTTCTCCCTGTGGAGATTGGATACTGAGCTCTACTCTTTTAATTCAAGTAAGTGGAATTGACTGAAATCCCAGAAACAGGTGCTTCTGAAGAACAAAAAGAGCCTAGAAAGGACATCCTTTATATATTTCTCTCTCATTTATATTTGTTACCTCCACACCTTCTAAAGTTCTGATCAAATGTAAGAATCACAAGAGTCACTCGCCTAATTCCTGGTACCTGTAGTTACACCGTTTAGAGTCAAGCTTCCAGGTTCAGTAATTAGACCACATAGAAAGGTCACACTTTTCCCCCTTTTATTTTTACCAGGAAGCTACTAAGAAAATGGTACCATTGTAAAAGTTATTTTTCTGCTTAACCCAGAGGGAAGTACAGAAAAGAAAGGACAAGGAAAAAAACAGGATTTTCACAATGCCAGAATAAATACTGTCACTCCTGTTGGAGGCATCTGCCCTTCACTGCAGCAGCAAGAGCCTCTGTTTGTGCCCAAAACATCCTCGCTGTGGCATGCAAATGCAGATTTTAATATTTCTGTCAGAGCAAACTATAAATATAAAATTTAACCCCCAAAGGGATTTGTCACATCAAGTGAGCATGAATATTTCAATTTCTGGATCCATCACTTACCAGACACTATGTGTGTTAGTACAAACAAGTTATTTCTGGATAAGTGTCTGAGTGTAAAGTGAAAGAGGTAAGATGAGTTGCTGTTTTAGGAAAAAAATAAAATATATTAAAAAGAATCTTCAGTTAAACTAATTCAAACAATGCAGAAGCATATAAGGTGATACTGTCTCCTTGCCATCTCTCTTCCCACTCAGTTGTCATTTCCAGAATTAACCACATCAGCAGTTTCATATCTATCTTTCCAGAAAAATATATTTACACATTATATGCACTGTCCTTTTGTCTATACCAATGCTTCTGTTTTATAATTTTCTTTTCTTATTAACCAATATATTGGTCAATTTTTCATCAAAGTAGCTAAATCTACCCACTTCTGATCACAGTTTCAAAACAGCAGAATGCATGAATATTATTAGTACTTTTTCTATTGATAAATATTTGTATTGTTTCTGCATTTGAACTTCAGTGAACATCTTTGCCCATATATATTTGTATACCTGTGGAAATCAAACAGTTAGATAAATTCCTCTGAAAAGTGGGATTTCTGGGTAACAAGAAATCATGATATTTTCAACTTGTCTTTGAACAAGATGTGGACGTACTTATTTCTTCTAGCCAATTCTGGCTATCATAAAATATTTTAGTGTTACAATATGATAGACAAAAATGGTGTCTTGTTAAGTTTTCGTATTATGAGTGATTTTAGCAACTTATCATATGCTGGCTATTCACTGTTTGTAATTTTTTTCTGGGAAATGTTGCTTCAAGTCTTTGCTCATTTTTGTATTTTAAGAACTCTATGTATTAAGGAAATAGAATGCGTGTCTGGCATATATTTTATATTTTGCAAATATTTTCCTCAGTTGTCACTTTTTTATGACACAAAGACCCAGCTGCTCCTCTGGAGTGTGTACGCTCAAGAATGATTACTCTGCGTAATAAATTATTACTACAGTTATTACCAAAAAAAGTTTTATTGACTACCATAGTAAATATTTCAAAAATTAAAAAAAGTTGCAATTCTTAATGTGGTCCAATTTATGGCTTTTCCTCTCTTTGTGGGTTAGAAGAATTCTTTTCTAAAGAGTTTTTAACATAAAATAATTTTTTTCTGGTACTTTCAGAATTTCATTATATTTATATACTTACTTTTTTTTCTTCCCTGAGATAGAGTCTTGCTCTGTCACCCAGGCTGGAGTGCAGTGGCATGATCTTGGCTCACTGCAACTTCCACTTCCTGGGTTCAAGCAATTCTCCCTGCCTCAGCCTCCCGAGTAGCTGGGATTACAGGTGTCCACCACCACGCCCGGCTAATTTTTGTATTTTTTAGTAGAGACAGGTTTTTGCCATGTTGGCCAGGCTGGTCTTGAACTCCTGACCACAGGTGATCCACCTGCCTTGGCCTCCCGAAGTGTTGGGTTCCAGGCGTGAGCCATGTATTTATATACTTATATTTCTGGTATTTATTTCAGAATAAAACTTCAAGTACAGATTCATCTTTGCTTAAAAAGACCTAGTCAAAGGCCCAACAGAACTTTCTGATTAATCTATCAGTTCTTCAACAAATTTAAATATCTTCTGTATCAAATTATTAATGAGTATATTTCTGAATTTCTTTGTTTTCTTGATCTAGTTATCCATTATTAGCAAATTATTTTAGGGTAGCTCCATAGTACTTTTAAAACAATAAAAATGATTTCTTGTTAATTACTTTTCAGTATCAAAATATTTCAAAATATTCTCACATATTAATTTTTAATCTGATTTTTGTCAAGTTTTTAAAATATCTGTTGACATTTTAATTGAGGTATAGGGAAGTCTATTGTTTAATTCTGGGAAAGTTGTCAATAATAATTTCATTTTTCTATCCAAAAACAGGAAATGGCTTTCCATTATTTAGAAGTTACTTCCTATTCTTCAACGGAATATTAAAACTCTCTTCATATTGTGTCTGAATATTTTTCACTGGGTGTATTCTTCAATATTTTATCTTTGTTGTTATGATGGTGATAGTCTCTCTTCCCAAAATGCTGATAAAATAAAAATGAAGAAGCTATATAACTTGTCAACTTGAAAAGCTCAGAGTCTAATTAGGAACTTGCAAACATGTAAAAGATAGTATCTTTGAGAAAATAAAATATACATACAGAACGATGTGAGAGTTCAGAGGAAAGAGCGGCCAGCTCTGCAAAATAAGTTTCCTCCCAGAAGACAGCATTTGGCCTGGGTCTTTAAACATGAATGAACCTTTGCCTCCACCATCAAGTGCCTGAACATCTGTAGCCTGGTCTTCAGCATCCTTCTGACTACCAGAGTCATTATTGTGGTCGCTGGCTCAGCAATGAGCTTTCAAGCAATTTCACAGATATTAAAAGATCTTGTTGATGACTACCATCCACTGCTGGCCCTGCATCCTGAGGCTGCTGGCCCTGTTCCCTTGACACCGCTCCTTTATACATCAGTTTAAAAGCACATATCTACTTACAGTGGGATTGAATTATGTACATGTGTTTGTTAAAAAAAGAAAAAAACAGCGAGTGGAATCTTTGGGGCAATAAAAGAGGAAAGAGCTTTGCAAGCAGAAGGACAAATGCAAAGACAGGGGAAGGAGAGGAGAGGGCAGTTCAGGTGAAATACTCCTGCTGGGATTTCAGCATGGCTGAAGATGGAGTGTATGTGAAAAGAGGTTAGAATCTAACTCTTAGGGAAATAGCCTGGGCCACATACACATAATAAATGGTCTTGTATCCCAATATAAGAAATTTGGAATAAATTAAATGTATTTTCTTATTGTAAGTTGACAGGTAGGTGTGAAGAGATGTATCCAAAATGGAAAGAGAGACACATGGCAGGCAATTCCAGCAGAGTGGGGAGACTCTGCAGAGTGGGCAGAGTGAAGTTTAAGCATAGTGAATCTAGGTTCTAGCAGCACATCTCAATGGTAGCACAGCTCTTAACATGTAGAAGGTTCTCATTAAATATTAAATGTATCAATGAAAAATAAATAAGATTTTTTTAAGAGTCAGGTATTTCTAGAAGTTCATAATTTGTAATCGCGTCATCTCAAGGTTTAAACCACTCATTCTACACAACTACAAGATTTTCTAAGGTATAGTGTTTTGTCTAATGAGCATGGCAACATTAAGGAACCAGAATCTGAAACATTGCTGTGTTCTGCAACACAGCAGGAATTAAGTAAATGAATTAATGTCAAATCACTTGGGATGCTGCTTTGCACAAACTAAGTGCTATACAACTGATATAACTGTTTGCTAAGTAAATAAATAGTGAAGACTTGGATGCAAGACTGGGGTGAAAATTGTGAAGTAGTAAACATTTAAGTAAGACCTCAGTTCCATCTTCCTTAACTACTTATGTCCCTCTAGACCTCCCCTGTGTTTGCCTCATCCCTTCCTTTAAAGTTTCAAATATCTCTGTTAATCAGTATTTTAAAAATTCACAGAAAACAGCATACATACCAAAGGAATGTGTGCAGAAATAGAGGAAGGAAGGGGCTTGTGTCATTTGACACATACAAGGAAGCTCTGTGCAATTGGACCTTTGTGAGTAAGGAGAATGACCAGAGATGGGCAGGGTTCAGTTCATCCAGTTTGTGTGGACCACATTTAGGGAGTCTGGATTTGATGTTGAGCAATGGGAAGCTAGCAAGGGGACTTAAGGGAGTTATGTGCTTACGATTTCATTTTTAAAATGGGTCCTTTCAGTTCAAAGTGGAGAACAGATTCAAGGAATAAAGAGTAAATGTTAGGTAGCTATTATAGTCAAATTAAAAGAAGACGGTGGCTTGGACTACGGTAGTAGCTGTGGAAATGGAAAGGAATCACCAAGAGGTTGAATTTGGGATGAATTCACATGGAGAGTTGAAGACAGCACAATGTCAAGTATAATGACTAGGTTTTGTGACATGAAAAACTAGGTACCATTTCTTAAAACAGGAAACTTGGGAAGTACAGGCTTTGGGGAAAGGAGCATATGATCAACTTAGTATATGCAAAGTCTAAGAAGTTACATGGGTCTGGAGCTCAGTAAAGTCTGGGCTAGAGAAATGTACTTGGGAGTTGTAACAGCCCCTTTTGTGCATCTTTACAACCTTTCATCCCTATCTCTTACACTGGCCAAAGTTGCTACAACTATGGCTGGTATCCCACATCCAGGTTTCAATCAGATTTTCACAGGTCCAACCTGATAATGTCTGATAATGCCACCTATCTCTTGTTTGCTGCCTAAGGCTCATATATGTGCACCCCAGAAGTATAAAGGAGTAAACTTATATAAGCCACCCTTGAACAACCAGGAAAAGAAGCTGATGAATCAACACTTCTTGTTTCTCTCCCCTGGGTGAAGAGATCTGAGAAGTGCCTTCAGGATTGTTGCCTTGATAATGCATTTTTCTGCTGGCCTTTCCTCTTTCCTTGTCTCATTTCCAGCATACCTCATTGCCACCGCTTGGGATAACTTTCCAAATCACTACCTGCATGCAAGCCTTGATCTTACTCTGCTTTGTGGGGAGCCTAAGAAAAGTAAGAGTTATTAGTGAATGAGTGGTATTGAAGTGGCAAGAGTGGAAAGGTCACGAAAAGAAAGACAGAAAAGAGGAAGAGGCTTCCAAAGTGCCAATATTTACTGATTGGATAAAGCCAATCAAGAAAACTAAGAAAGGGTGTCCAAAGGAGAGGGAGGGAGGGAGTTGTCAAGGAAGCCAAGAGAAGAGAATACTGAAGGAGGGAGAAGTCAGTTCTGTCAAATGCTTCTGAAGTAAAATAAAAATGAATATCAAAAAGTGTGCAGTAGATTTGGTATCATAGAGGTCAGTGATTCCTGTAGCTGGGACCACCCTATTCTTTTATCAAAACACATGCTTAAAAGAATCCATGGAACTGAAATCAATGACATGTTCAGATTAGAACTCTAGGTATTAATAAGCTGGATAAAGAAGGTGGTTTTAAATCCCCCTGGAATCACACTATGTTGGGCGCTCTCTATATGTGAGGTCAGTTGTCTATAATAGCCTTTGGACACATCAGTGCTTGGTGGCAGCTGTGGGATACATAAGAGGCTGGACCGATGAGCCTACTGCTGATCTAGGTGTTTCCCAGGATGCTTTCACCAATAGCTGTATCAAGTTGACAATAATATTTAACTTGATCTCATAAACATATGCTTGAGTTTTCATCTTCAAGAGATTAACCTGAAATTCTCTCTACAATGCTATCTTAAAGGTAATGTCTGCATACCTTTTGTCAATATAAAAAGAAGTTTGTGAGAATTTAGCTGGTATTTAAACCACTCCCCATTTTTATGTGGATTGTTAGCACCAAATGCTTCCTATGAGAGAAAAGAAATCTAATTTCCTGGAATTCCTCCATCCATGTGCTTTCATAGCCAGGATCGCTTAAAATTCAAGCCTAGCACCACCACAAAGATGCCAACTTTTCATTCCTAACAAAGACCTTCCTGAATACCATCTCCAACTGTTAGTAGTAATTTTCCCTTGACTCCTACATACTGCTGGCAAAGTACCAGGTGAAAGGCTCACAGAGAGGCAGACTAATTTAGAAATGTAAGATCTCTCAGTGTCCAAACTAAAAGAAAGAGCTCAATCCTGCATCCCAACACCCATGGTTAAAACTTCTGATTAAATGTAGTGCTCATAAAGAAAATTAAAGTTCAGAGAAAATCGCTTTTCATATTTCACATGAAAATGTCAAGAATTTTATTCAGTTCTTGGATTCAAATACTTTAGTCCCGTGCTAGAGTGCATATTGGGATAATGAAACATATTTTAGAATTACTAACACTTACTGTGTGTCACACTTGGTATTATTGCTTTACATGTACTGATCTAAATCTTTTGAATAACTGCATGAATTTGCTATTATTGTCTCTAGTTCATAGAGAAATAGAGGTACAGAGAGTTTGAGTGACTTGCTCAGGTAGCCAGAGCTAAAAAATGGTAGAGGCAGGATCCACATTGTGTTAATCCCACCTCAGATCCATGTTCCTAAACCCCCTAGAATGAAAGTACTCTAAAAATGTAATTAAGCAAACAGAACACTTAAATTATCATTTTCTTATATGAATTTTCCGGTACATCACAAGCTTTTCACATTCATACATCACCCAAATTAACATACAAAATAAGAGATATTCAGACACCAGTCTAAAGTAGTCCATCATGGAAGAAAAGGGACGTAAAGACTCTCTGTGACTATTGACGGATGGTGAATTCTACATAGTACCACAAATCAATAGACTGGGGAAGTCAAACTTTGTAACCTGAAATGCACCTTTTTCTCATGTCATCCCTCAATGGATTCAAAAGCCTCTGGCAAAAAGAGACTCTATGCAGATGAGGAATCAAAGAGGAGAAATTCCTGGTCAGAAAGAGTCATGTTTGTTTTTGCCTTTTCAGCAGGGCTGCTGAAACAGTCCTGCCGTGGAGGATGGCTGTTCTCAGCCACCCACACTTCTCAGAGGCTGCAGCCGAGGCTGACGGCAAAAGCTTCTCAATTGTATTGTACCTTATTTCTTGAATTTGAAAAAGCTATGTAAAGGTTGCCCTAAATCAAAAAGCAGTTTCTAACAATTAAAATGTGGCTATGCTGAAGTCTAAAAGGGAGGGGGAAAGCTTTTTACACTCAATGATGAACACATAATGGAAATAAGATTTAACTGAGCACAAAATCAGTTGCATCACATTTCAGGAAAAAAATATTCATACTGAGTATCACTTATTTTCCTGTATTTTACAAGGCCAGAGATTTCTGAAAGAAAACATCACATTCTTCTCTGCCTCCAAAATTAGCTTCTTAAACATGTTCTCTTTCAATGATGCTGCAAATCTCAAAGTGATTTGCTATGGTCTGAATGTTTTTGTCCGCCCAAAATTTGTATGTTGAACTTGAAACCCCCCAAAGTGATGATATTAGGAAATGGGAAGCTTGAGGAGGTGATTATCAGATCATGAGGGTGGAGCTCACATAGTGGGATTTGGACCCTTATTAAAGAGTCCCCAGGAGCTGCCTTGCTGATGCCACATGAGGACACATCAAGAAAGTGCAACCTGTGAGAAATCCAGCTCTCACTAGACACAAAACCTGCTGGCTCCTTGATCTTGGACTTGCCAGCCTCCAGAACTGTGAGAAATAAATTTCTGTACTTTATAAGCTACCCAGTTTATGGTATTTTGTTATAGCAGCCAGAACAGTCTAAGAATTCTTTATATAAAGACATTCTTTATACAAAGAATACTGGTTTTGAGATAGAAGGATGAATTCAAATCGCAGCTAAATATCCATGCCAATATCGCATTTTAGGCAACATTTTGAGCTTCAGTATCTTCACATGCAAAATCATAAATAGTTAAGAGCACAAATGTGAAACTGCTTGCCTGACTGACACATAATAGGGAATTAAAAAGTAGCGATTGCATCTCAAATGCAGCCCTTCACATAACAACTCACTGGTTTCAATAAATTATTTTATCATTCTAAAAATTCTGTGACCCCCATGGGTCACCAAGACCTTGTGCAGAATTCTCTGCTACAAATAAAATTGGTAGGTTTTGAGAGATTTAAGTGCTACACTTCCAGTAAGCAGCAAAGGAGAGAATTGTCTGTTTAAGATGTACTCCCTGGCATGAAATGCTGGCTTAATGGTCACAGAAGGACATGAGAAGTCTGCTTTAACAGATGTGTAAGGATGTCTTTCCTCTTCTGCATGTTCCATATTTGGGAACTTTCTTGCCTCTAAATATCCTGTGTGCCTATTGTTCTCTTACAGAGGAGATCTGTTCCTCAGAGGAATTCAGATAAATGCATATAACCTCCTCAGGCAATTTGGGGCAGCTCTTTTAGGACACCTGACCCACAATGTTTAGGGCTGGGCTGAAACCAACCCGATCTCTGAGTGCAGAGAATGCATTCCTTTCAGAATGTGTGGGATTTACAATTGTTAAAATTATTCTGTAATACTCAGAGTATATGGCAAATAGTCCTTGGATTCTGAACCTGTAGTATTACTTCTATTGGCTTGAGTCTTTGATACAGGGGTGACAGAGATACATTTAGCTTATAAAAACAAAATCATGCACAAAATTTTCAACTGGTTCCTGGAGTAGTCAAGTCTGGAAATTGTATTTTATATTCAGCCCTCAAAATATAAGACAAATAAAAAGGTTTTCTATTACTATTTCATATCAGAAACTTTGCTATGTGGCTCACTAATCTCATCTGGCATGTGGGTGATGTCAGTGAAGGTCAGGTCTTTTAAAGTATCATCCTAGAAAGGAAATTATTTCATCAAATACAGAGGAGACTGTTTTCTGGGACCTAGTGTTTTGCAGGGAATATCTATTTAATGTTCAGCGTGTGTATATGTGTACATCAAAACCTAACTATCAACAGCTTGCATGTGTCACCTTGGTGGCCTTGAAATACAGTTAAGAAGGGAGCAAGATTAAAGCTAAGAAGAGGCATTTCACAATTTCTGAATCCAGCTATGTGACATAGCTGATTCTATTCCTTAAACATCTCAGAGATCTATGTAGCCGGAGACTTGCTTGAGTGAGAATTAACTACCCGATGCTATTAATAACCATGAATTTTTATTAGCCATTCCACCAAGGACTTTACATAATACCAAATTTAATCCACTTGGCAACATTTTGAAGTAGATGCTATTACTATGCCCATTTTATAGAAAGGTAAACTAAGGCACAAAGAAGGGAGATGGTTATGTGTCATGTGGAGGTGAACATGAAGTGCTATGGCCTTGAGAGCACTGGTGAGTCTTCTGAGGATGCAGCTACCACATCCTGTAGGTAGCAGTAGCACTGCAATGCAAACACAAGCCATCTGATCACAGAGCTCAAGCTTTTTACCCCTACCGTTCTTTGCTGTTTGACATTTCTGTGTCAAATCCAAATAGCATTACCCTGAGCTTAAAAAATAGAAATTCAAGTCATTAATTCTCCACTTTATTATTGTCTTATCATCATTTTCTTGATTGAAAATGATTTTCATCAGCAAGGATTCTCTTTTGAGTGAAAATCAAGCACGAAGTTCAAAGGCTCTCAGGCCTTAGACAGGGTCTGAAATTCCCCATGACACTAAGGTGCAATGTTTGCCAATTTATATATTTCTCTACATCAAATCCAGCTCTGAGTACCCACTTGCCGTGGTCAGTGAGTGTCAAGACCAACATCATTCATTGGTCGTGGTGTCTTGCCTTGTTTGGGTAATACCAGGACTCCCATAACGATGTGGCCCAGGGAAGTCTTCCATCTTCTGCCCCTGGGGAAGTTGTCATCACTGCCTTGCACCTGGTTCACACTATCAATGTTGAGTGCTGGTTTCCTGCCACCTGTCACACCGCTTATGCAGGCAAGCCTCAAGCATACCCTTCTAAGGTGCCTCTCACTGATCATAAAAACTCTCTTTACTTTCCCCTAGACAAGCAGGCTGAGTGATCAGCCTCCACACATGCCCACGTTGTCATCCACTCACTGAATCCTGTCATCTTCAATCTGCAACTTCTCTCAACAAATATTTGTTGAACACTCAATATGTCCCACGTACTGTGTGAAGTGTTAGAGATAAAAATATCATTTAGGAAAAAAAAAAAGACCTACTCCTCAATATAAATGCTGCTAAATTAAGCACCATTTTCTGTTTCTTTGTAACAAATTATCACAAATTTAGTGGCTTGAAAAAACAAATCTTTTATCCCACAATTTCCATGCCTCAGGAGTCCAACTTATTTTAGCTAGATCCTCTGCTCAGGGTCTCACAAGGCTAAAATCAGGTGTTATCTGGCTGCATCCTCATCTGGAGACATTTATGAGAAAAAAAATACATCTTAAGCTCCTTCAAGATGTTTGCAGAATACATTTTTTTTTTTTTTTTTTTTTTTTTTTTTTTTTGCAGAGGCATGACTGAGCTCCCCCTTTTCTTGCTAGCTTAGAAGACTACTCTTAGCTCCTAGAGGCCACACTCAGGTCTTTGCTACATTGTCATCTCAACAACATGGGAGTTTGCTTCTCCCAGGCCAGCAGAGAATCTGTATGGCCTCAGATGTCTCTGATTTGTTTAAAGGGATCACCTGATTGGGTCAGGCCCACCTAAGACAATGTGCCTTTTGATTAAAGTCAATTGATTAGGGACCTTAATTACATCTGCACAAGTCCCTCGTAATCACAGGTCTTCTCAGACTCAAAGGAAGGGGTTATGCAAGGCATATACACCAAGGGGTGGTCATATTGAAAATAATCTTAGATTTCTGCTTACCGTAGATGGGAAGAGTATGACAAAAAAAAAACACCAAGTGATTTTCATCTTACAAAGTCACTTGGATTTCTGTGTCTATAATAGGCTGCAGATGGACAAAAGTTAGCAGGAGGACAAATCAGGAATTCACTGCCACGACATATGCAGAAGAGGGTGAGAGAAGATGTGATTTGGAATATATTTGAAAATAAAGCCAATAGTACTTGTCTGTGTATTGGCTGTGGGTGCCACGCATGAGTGGGCATAGGGCTCTGCCACCCTTGAAATTCAGGATTCCTGACTCTTTCCTATCTCTTAGAGGCCACTGCTCATGCCGCAGACCTACTCTTCTCCCTCTGCTCTCAGGATAACGGCTGAAACTGAATGCAGCCTCCAACACCTGCAGGATCTGCTCCTCCTATCCCTCAGCCTAATCCAAGACCTTGCTCTACAATGACCTTACTGAAGTCCCTTGAATGTGGTCCTTATCACTTCACCTTCATCCATGCTATTCCCTCTGCCTGGAACACTCCTCCCTCACCACTTTGCCAAGGTAACTTTTCCTCTTCCTTTAGGTACCACTCCAATCATACTTCCTAGGGAGACTTTTCCAACCTAGACAGCATCATGGCTGCTCATATCTGTTATGTACATTTACTCTTACGTGTCCAATTCCTTTATTGAGGTTCATCTTCAGTGTTAAATTCTGCTCAGTGAGGGAAGGAAGAAAATCTGCCTGCTCATCAATTTGTTCATCACCACAAACACAGTACCTAGCAAATAATAATCCCTCAATATCAGCTAAATGATGAACGGCCTCCAAACCTGCCCTCCCCAGTAATCTTGCCTAATCTCTTCATGGGTCCAGACCTTCCAAAACTCGACATGGACAAAGGTGTGGCTTTCATGGCTAACAGCCCCAGTCCCCATACAATGACTGAACAAAGCCAATAGCCCTTTCCCAGCATACTTCTTGCCGTCCTCATCCTTTAGCCTCAAACCAAACGAGTATCAGACGATGATGGGAAATGAAGTTCTTTTATGGAAGGGCACAATGCGGGAGAAACAGAAGATGAGGATTTGCTCTACCTCACAAAGAGAAACATTTGAAGAAAGCATTGTTCCATGGTACGTATACATCGTGGAATACTATGTAACCATAAGAAAGAACAAGATCATGTCTTTTGTGGGAACATAGATGGAGCTGGAGGCTATTATCCTTAGCAAATTAATGCAAGAACAGATAATCAAATACCACATGTTCTTACTTATAATGGAAACTAAATGATTAGAACTCAAGAACACAAAGAAAGGAACAACAGACACTGGAGCCTACTTGAGGGTGGAGGGAGGGAGGAGGGAGGGAGGAGGGCGAGGAGCAGAAAAAATAACTATTGGGTACTAAGCTTAGTAGCTCAGTGATGAAATAATCTGCACAACAAGTCCCTGTGACACGAGTTTACCTGTATAACAAACCTGCACATGTATCCTTAAACCTGAAATAAAAGTTAAATAAAAATAAAAATAAATGAAGAAGGCATTGTCCCATGAGAGCATGGTTCATGTACCACCATTGCTTCCAAGGGACGGTGGGAAATAGCTCTAAGCTTATGAGGGGCACTGATGGGGGCTCCAGTTGCAATTCAATCTCTTGATCAGGGAAAGCTATGGCTGATCGCTATCTTGGACTTTTAGATGAGCTCGCATTGATAGGGGATAACTCGTGTTTTTCTAGAGGCGCTCCAGTCCCATTTGGGAACAGAACTTACTTCCTAGTATGTCTTTCATCCTGCCCTTTGTAGGACAGTAACTCAGGCATCCTCATGGGTGAGGATCTTTCATAATCCTGGCTCTTATGGTTAGAAGAGTATAAAAGGCTCTCTCTCAGCTATTCAGGAAGGCTAGAGTCAGTTTCAGTTAAATGCTTTCCCATTTCAAATTGCCACCAAGGTTAAAAGAGGAAGGCTATAGGTTGGTGTCACTTTATTTTACGACATAATCTACAGTCTTCACTGTTTCACTTAATTCAATTTTCTTCAGTCCTAGAATAGTCAGCACATGCAGTTATTTTTTATGTGAAAATTATTATAAAATTGGTCCTTTACTTTCATCTGCTACAATTATGATAGGCCCCTTTCTTTATATTGTCTTCATATCTTCTAATTTGAAAGTTTGTAATTTTCCTATTAGTTCTTAAGAACTTACAAAATGCTTGCTCCCTGAAAGTCCCACTGAAATGAAGGGTCCACAGGACAAAGTGATTTTATTGCTTTCGAAGGAAAGAAAATGCATTATCTTGATAGAATCTTAGTAGCTTCTTAGCAGGTAAAGTTGGAATATTTATGAGGTCTGGAAGTTTGGTTTAAGGTTCACCTTTCATCATGGGGGCTTGGTTGGTAGTGGATTAGGATCATGCTATAACAGTTGAGGTTTAGTGAGCATAGCAAGGTGGAGATTTTGAGGTAAGGTTTCAGAGTAACAAGGAGAAGGGTAGTTTGATGCTAGTTATTGAAAAGTTGAATGTCTGATGTTCATTTGAATGTTTTATTTGGGGAGGTGGGAAGTTTTTCTGAAACAAACAATACCATTATTTACAACTTTTATCTTCCTGAGAAGTTTCCTGGCATTGTAAAGTCACATTAGTGAAGACAGTTGAACAATACAATTTTCCTAATGAGGATAGCAAGCTGTGTGGGTGTGGACAGTTCTGATCATCAAATGAACATTAATGTTAGGATTCCTGATTCAATTAGGATTAAGGAGTCAAAATTTGGCTAATGACTCAGGCTTAAAGAAACTAAATGTGTGTAAGGTCAGTTACTTTCACAGCTAGAATTTTCACCTGATCTATCATGTCTTTTTTTTTTTTTTCCACCTATAGGGTGAGTGAAACATTAGTTGCACTAATAGTATAGGAATGGGTACTCATGACCTGGGGGAGAATTTCCAGTGACAGAATCATAAAGCTGTTCTTTTTTTTTGTTTTTTGGGGTTTTTTTTGTTTTTGAGATGGAGTCTCCCTCTGTCGCCCAGGCTGGAGTGCAGTGGCGCGATCTCGGCTCACTGCAACCTCCGCCTCCCAGGTTCAAGCAATTCTCCTGCCTCAGCCTCCTGAGTAGCTGGGATTACAGGTGCCCATCACTATGCCCAGCTAATTTTTGTATTTTTAGGAGAGACAGGGTTTCACCATGTTGGTCAGTCTTGTCTCGAACCCCTGACTTCGTGATCCACCTGCCTCGGCCTCCCAAAGTGCTGGGATTACAGGTGAGAGCCACTGCACCCGGCCTCACATTCTTACAATATATGTGGCCCCATTTCCAGATATCCTTGTTGTATCTGTGTCACTGCTTGCTAGTGAAATGAGCAGATCACACATGAATTAATCATGACATTTTTATGTATTCTAGAACAGCTAACTTTGTAAAATATCATGCTTGCAAATGGAGTACGCTGGTTAATTACTGTCTACTTATTTTTAACAAATATCTCACCCACTCCAGAAAGTAATTCAAGGTACCTAAGTTACTCCCCAACACCTTGTGGGCAAAGTTTATGTTTAATTTATGTGGACCACAGATTCTAGGACAGCTTCTTGTACACACTAGCATGGATGAATAAAGATATGGTAAAATACTTTTAACACTAAAAGTACTTTGAAGATAATTTCAATAATTTACTTGCTTAATAAATGATTATTCGTAAGACTGTTCTGAATGGTGCAAAATCAAAGACACTTAATCATAACATCAGTCATAACTATTGCACATTTATAAATCTCCACTGCAATTTTCTGCTTCGTATAACTTACTCTTAATAGATACATGGGTGACCTAGCACTCAGAAATAATTTGCTATCATATTTACCAGGGTTGTTCCAACTTGTATTTGCAAGGTTCATTGTTTTTCTTCTACTGCGAGTCACATCCTTATTATTTTTGAATGATTTTACCATCATCTGAGATTTGCAGAGGATCTTTCAGTTATGATGCTTTTTTCGGAGTTCTGTCCTTCAGAGTGCATGTACTGCTTTATTAAATTAATGTGCAAACTAGAACATGAAATTCTGCATGAATCAGTTTTATAAATCTTCTTTCAATTGTTTGAGGGAATTGGTGTGATGGAATTTCCAGACAGAATAAAGCTGGAAATAAGGGGGAAAATGCTGTTTTAGAGAATATGAGTTTTCACATGTGTGGCATACTTTATTATTATTTATTTCATGTTATTTCACTGTTATTTTCTACAGCTCCTCTATGAAGCTTACAGTATCCTCACAAAGATGAAATTCCCTTCATCTCAGCATTCTGGGAAGAGTGGCCACTATATCCATTTATATAAATATCCCAAGTCTTAATTTTTAATAATTAATGCATATTTTTCCTATTACTTCACTAATATAATCACCTCTTCCTCATAAATCTGGCTGTCCTTCTGTCTGTTCTCTCACATTTCATTAATTTGCTTCTTTGAAAGAAGAATAAAAGATACTTTCCCATTGATCACATTTCTTCAACATATTCAAATATACTCTAAGGAAAACAGGTAGCCTCTTTCTTCAGGAATCGTTAGCTCTAGAAACGGTCCCTGCAGTCACCTGGAGGAAGAATAAGTGGGGTTCCCTTAGGATTTGCAGCATTCCATATCCATCATCACTATCATCCTGTAAGCCAGGGTCCTCTTTACATTTTTTAAATGTATTCCATTTTGGCTTCAAAAGATGGAGTAGGTGTACTTTTCCCTATTCCTCCTGCTAAGTACTACTAAAAACCCTGGACAATATGCACAAAATAAACATAAGGAGACAATGAAAGTCGGAGAAAAGAAACCTCAGAGCCCAAGGAATAACACAGTCACACGTTCCCATTGTTGCATTATGCCAGAATTAAGACAACTACTCCATATTGTTGAATATTTAGGTTACATACAATTTTTACTGTTATGAAGTTATAAGGATCACCTGTGATATGGGTTTCTTTTCTATATCTCTGATATTTTTCTTAGCAGAGACTCTTAGAACTTGAATTATGGATTAAAGAGTATGCATCATTTTAAGGTTCTTGATTTTAAGTTATTGTATATAAATAGTACATAAAAAGTATCCTCTAAAATAGAATGCATATTTTTAAAAACTGCCAAATTGTTAAAGGCCAAATGGCATGCTAATACTTTAATTGGCCTTTCTTTTATTAATAATGATGTTGAATAATTGTTGGATTTTTTGGTTGATTGTAATTTGGGGGGACTAATGTTTTTATAATCTTTATGAGTATTCATCTTATTTGTTCAAAAGTTCCTTTTATTTATTAAGATATCCCACTGTGTCTTGTGTTTGTTGCTTTTTTTTTTTACCAATTAATGATTTTACTTTTCTTTATTGCTTTATATATATATTTGTATTACATTAATAACAGTAATACAATTTATAAGTTTAAATATTATAGACATGTATAAAGTAGAAGGTCCTCCTGTAATTTCACCCCACATTTCTCAAATTTACCCAAGGAAAACAAATCATTCTACCAAAAAGGCACATGCACTTATGTGGTCATTGCAGCACTATTCACTTTATTAATTCCTTCTGAATGGAACTTTTTGCTGTGAATAGCAAAAGAAATGGAATCAACTAAGATGCCATCAACAGTGGACTAGATAAAGAAATATGGTACGTATACACCATGGAATACCACACAGCCATAAAAAAGAATGAAATCATGTCCTTTACAGCAATATGGATGCAGCTTGAGGTCATTATTGTAAGTGAATTAACAAAGGTACAGAAAAACAAATACTGAATGACCTCACTTATAAGTGGGAGCTAAAAACTGAATACACATGCACACAAAGATAGGAACATTAGACACTGGACTGCTTGAGGGGGTAAGTGGGAGGGAAGGTGAGTTAAAGACTGCCTATCCAGTAGTATGCTCACTACCTGAGTGATGGGATCATTTGTACACCAAGCTTCAGGAACATACCATTTACACATGTAATAAACCTGCATATGTACTCACTGAACCTAAATTAAAATTCAAAGAATAATAATAAAATAAAAATAAAGAACCAGCACTGTATGGAACTTTTTAAAAATTATTTATTTATTTATTTATTGATTTAATTTATTTTTCGATACAGGGTCTCACTCTGTAGCCCAAGCTGGAGTGCAGTGGTGCCTCCCGGGTTCAAGCGATCCTCCCATCTCAGCCTCCTGAGTATCTGGGACTACATGCGCATGCCACCACACTCAGCTAATTTTTCTATTTTTAGTAGAGATGGGGTTTTGCCATGTAAGCCAGGCTGGTCTCAAACTCCTGACCTCAACTGATCAACCTGCCTTGGCCTCCCAAAGTGCTGAGATTATAGGTGTGATCCACCACGCCTGGCCTGTATGGAACTTTCTGTTGTGGCAGTGATTTTAGTTCTTCTTACCTAATTCATCAGTTTTTTTAAACATTTGGCCTTTATTAATTCCTTCTGAATGGAACTTTTTGTTGTGATGGTGATTGTAGTTCTTCTTACCTAATTTATTAGCTTTTTTTTTTAACATTTTGTCTTCATTAATTCCTTCCTTCAACATTTTTAGTACTTTTTTTCTAATTTAGACATTTTTTAGTTCAGTTGTATTATATATTTTCTACTCATTGATGCAACATTTAACTATAAAGTTTCCTCTAGATTATAAATTTGACCATGCATTTTATGTTTTGACATATATAATAGCATTTCATTGACATTAATTTCAAAATATCTTTCATTTTATCTTGATTTCCAATTTGGGCTATTTTAGAGAGCAGCTATTATATTTTCAAGTGATTATATTTGCAGGATACTTTTCAATATAACATATAAGATTTTTTTACTATAGAATTTATCTAGTTGACTAGTCTGATTGTCATATCTGGTTGACTAGTATATGGTTGATTTTTGGTATGTTTTCTATGAACAGTTGAAAATGATACATTTGACTTGGATTTGGAGTACAATATGTCTATATTAAGTCTCTTCTGCACCTTTTCTCTTTGTCAACACCAGCCATTAAATTCTAAAAAATTTTGTTAAATCTTCTACTCTGGCTGTGGTTTGGTTGAATTCTGCCTGAATTTCTAAGAAAATGGTTGATAGGTAGGTAGGTAGATAGATAGATAGATAGATAGATAGATAGATAGATAGATAGATAGATAGATAGATCATGGATATATGCCTCAATGATTATGCCTTGTATTTGTTGAGAACAAACATCTTCATGTGACCTAAAAGATTACACTTCGGTTTTCTGAACCATCACTGTGTTTTTCAACATCATATTTGGAAGAGGACCTGGGTTTAAGTTCTGTCTTATGTGTTGTCATTATCAAATCAGGCTATTTGTTTAAACTCTTTGAGCCTTAGTTTTCTCATTTGCAGAAGCAAGATAATAATAGTCCATTCTACCTTAATAAATTGTTATAAGGAGCATAGGAAAGTAAATAATGTAGTTTTTTAAAAGTAGAGTTTTTCCAACATAAAATACTATTTTTTAATATTTATTTACTTGTAAGTTTCAAACCTATAGCTGATATTTTTCTAAGGCTGTAATTGGCTAGCTTCTAAAGTTAAAATCCTAAGTTTGAGAAAATATTTCAAGAGTTATCTGAAGAGTTATTCAAGAGTTAGTATTGAATACTAACTCTTTAGCTTTCTTAAATAGTTTATTAAACTGTTTTTTTCACTGGAGTACTAGGGAGAAGAGACGAAATCTCACTCTTGAGGTTAGGAATAAATTCTGCTTTTTTTTTTTTTTTTTTTTTTTAACAGCTAGAGCATTGAATGTGAATCCTCTTCAAAGTTCATTTTATCCCCTAAATTAACTTCAGTGTGTTTGTTTTAGAACACTATGCTCTTATATGTGATTCAAGGGGCATATGGTCCCTTCATTGGAAAATAAAGAACAGATGTGTGGTTTAGATAAGTACACATAAACATGTGAAGGTCAATGGCAGGTGACTCATTGCTTTCACCATATTGTGGAAGGGATATGAATAATTTCCTTAGAGGAAATTTAATCCTTGATACAGTGACATCAAAGAAAGCATTATTTTATTTATTTTACTAGATAAGCATAAAAGAATCTAACAAAGAATACAGGTTTCTCTGGGAATCCAGATGACGGATTTAAGAAAATGTGCTGAAAGTCAATCTAAGTGCTTAACTCACATGTCAACATAGACTCACATTAACTAAGAACAGGAACATCTTAAATATACTTCCCTTTAATTTATTTGAGTATGCAATTCATTTTTCCTGAAAAGACTATGGGTAACTTGGCATAGTAGAGTGTTTTATTGATTTTGTCTTCAGATATCAAAATATTTTATTGGAGTCCCTTGAAATAGAAACTGAGCATGTAACCTTTAATAGAAAAAAATGAAATCATAAGTTCCGGAAAAACTTTAAAAATCTATTTTTACTTTTTGCCTGTCTTTGCTAGGATTTTCCATGTTGATCAATTCAAGAGTTTTCTGGGCCAGGCACAGCGGCTCATGCCTGTAATTCCAACACTTTGGAAGGCTAAGGTGGGCGGATCACTTGAGGTCAGGAGTTCAAGACCAGCCTGGCCAACATGGTGAAACCCTGCCTCTACTAAAAATACAAAAAACTAGCTGGGAGTGGTGGTGGCACACAACTATAGTCCCAGCTACTGGGGAGGCTGAGGCAGGAAAATCGCTTGAACCAGGGAGGCGGAGGTTGCAGTGAGCCAAGATCGCACCACTGCACTCCAGCCTAGGCGACAAGAGCAAGACTCCATCTCAAAAAAAAAAAAAAATAGTTTTCTGGATGGCAAAGCAAGTCTTAAAACTGACAGGCAGCACTCTGCTAGCCTTCAGAGAGAATCACATTTACACTTTTCCCATCAAGGCAAACTCTTTTCTGGTTCCACCACTTTTATTCCCACAGCTGTGAGAAAATCAGTCCAGACTGTAAACCCTTGAACCTAGACTCCAAAAACAACTTCCTCATCAATTCCCCTAGTACTAACTTCTTTTTCCTATTTTTTTTTTTTTTTTTTAAGACAGGGTCTCAGTCTGTTGCCCAGGCTGGAGTGCAGTGGCATGATCATAGCTCATTGCAGCCTCAACTTCCCAGGCTCAAGTGACCCTCTCACCTCAGCCTCCCTAGTAGCTGGGACTACAGGCACGTGCCACAATGCCTGGCTAATTTTTTGTGTGTTTTTTGTAGAGAAGGGGTTTCATCATGTTGCCCAATCAGGTCTGGCCCAAGTGATCCGCCCACCTTGGCCTCCCAAAGTGCCGAGCCTAGTAGCAACTCCTAACTCCATCAAACAATAATACAAAAGTAGCAAGAACAGTTTTCTTAGATTCATCCATTCATTTACCTCTCATTAATATATGCATGTATTACTTAATAATCCATCACTTAACCATCAAATATGTGATAAGAGATCTACTAGGCACCTGAGGATATGCAGGTAATGTTGCTTGAAAGACCTTTTTGGAGGTCCTGGAGGATCTCAGATCATAGTGGAGGACAGAGATGTCCACAAACTATTACACAATGCTGCATTAAGAAATTAAATGTATGTATTTCTGGGGATAAAGAGAATAGCATAGAATGAATGCAGATTTGTATCTGCTTTGGTCACCATTGTATTTCAGCACCTGAAACACTGAAACCTGTGGCACTTGGTAAATATGTGATGAATACATGAAAGGATGGATGGATGGATGGATGGATGAACAAGAGGGTCAAAGGTAGCTTTGTAGAAAAATCAACCCATTTGTAGGTTGAGGACTATAGAGGTATACATGAGAGATATATTTCCATGTGGATAACATGATATAGAGAAAGTAAATGGCATTAGCATGTTGAGGACACAGGGCAAGTAGGTTTGCATGACAGAGCACGGTGTTTGTGGTAAAACGACAGAGAATAAATTTGGGCAGTTTAAAAGAAACTGCAATATGAAAGGCTTTTTATGCATCACTAAGAAATCTGGTCTTGGTAATTTAAACATACTAAAAGATTTTAGGTAGAAAACTGATGTGATCTGATTTGTCAGGTGAGAGAAGGACAGAGCTACAGGGAAACAAAGCATTTGAGAGTGGTGGCAAGAGAATGGTTGAAACTAGAGGCTCTGGAATAAAGATTGAGAAGAAATATACTTTCTCCTATAAGAATTCTGCAGGGCTGGCCGGGCCAGTGGCTCATGCCTGTAATCTCAGCACTTTGGGAGGCCAAGGCGGGTGAATCACCTGAGGTCGGGAGTTCAAGACCAGCCTGACCAACATAGAGAAACCCTGTCTCTAATAAAAATACAAAACTAGCTGGGCATGGTGGTGCATGCCTGTAATCCCAGCTACTCGGGAGGCTGAGGCAGGAGAATCACTTGAACCCAGGAGGTGGAGGTGGTGGTAAGCCGAGATTGCGCCATTGCACTCCAGCTTGGGCAACAAGAGTGAAACTCTGTCTCAAAAAAATAAATAAATTAATTAATTAAAGAATTCTGTAGGGCCTCCAGTAACCTTGAGAAGAAGTATAGCATAATTGCTAGGACCAATCATACTGGAGCCAGACTTCCTGTGTTTGAATCTGGGATTTATCATTTACCAGTCATGTGACCTTGGACAAGTTACTTAGCTTCTCTATACCTCAGTTTACTCACTTGAAAATGGAGATTAAAATGATAGTGCTTGCATCATGAAGTTGATCATTTTTAAGACTGTGTTAGTCTATAAAGTTCTTGGAAAAGCAGCAACAGTGTTTGTTAAATTTGTTAAATAAAAGCCATATGTAATGATTCATAAATTTTTGCCTAAAATTATGCTTTAATTTTTTGTTTTCTTTTCTGCAAAACCATATATGTTTTTATTTTCTGTCAGGTGAAAAGTTTGTCTCATTTTTAGCCTACAATGACGGATGTCTGATTCAAAAATGGGTTGTAAGTTGAACTAATCAATCAATAGAACTTGCAAAACTCTAGATGCTCAAGATAATATTCAGTACTTCCTCCTCACCGAGAATATAAAATGTCCAGAGAGAATTTGTGAGAAAGACCTTGTAGACAGAGTTGCCAGTGTACGAAGAGCCATTCACCACTACCTAGAAGGAGGAATGGAGTGAGTGCTTTCATCACCTCAACTTCCACAGGACCACTCAGCTTCAAATGGGACTCCTGCAACTGGGGAATTTTAATATCTTGAGTCTGAATCCTGCCTGAGAATTGCAGCAAGCAGAAGGCAGACCAGCCAGCTACCCCAGCAGCGGAAGTAAGAAATAGGGTTGCTGTGTTGAGCCAAAAAAATGCATCAGGGCAAAGGAATGATGACTCCTGCCCATGATTAGAATAGAGACCACAGGGGAGAAAGGGTCACAGGGGAGGCATGCTGAGGAACTGTCCTGTAAAGAGGGAAGTTCAGGGTTCCTAGGGACTATGAAAGGAGAGAAAATGAGGAGCCAGATAAATGTTCCTTATGCACATCAAGGGAACTGCTAATAAAAGATCTCTAGCAATGAAGAAGCAGGGGTCCCACCCCTAAGAAGAAAGTGAGTTTGAACCTGCCTGACACAGACCTAGCATGAAGATGGTTTACAAGAGCAAGAACTTTCTCATACCCCTATATCCCCTCACTTTCAATATTCTAACTTCAGAGCTATCAGACATCAGGGTTAGTGAGCTGGGTGGGGAAGAGAATCAAAGCAGGTTGTAGCTCATGTCAACCCCCTCACCTTTTCCCTCAGCCAGCAGAAATTAGAAGCATTAACTTCTATATAAGAGACATTCAGTACTTTTAAGTACCAAATGAGACTATTTTGTGATTGAAAGTGATCTTAAGCCTTTGGCTTCCATTCTGCAATGTCCTGTAACCTCCCTTTTTCATGCATGGGCAGGGGAATATCTAGCTCACTGAGCAGCCTAAGAGACCAGTGAGAGAAGGAAACACATTTTTTTCTGTGACTTGCATTCTACAAATTATGCTTGACCAGGGTACTGGTTATGATTTTTTTATTTTTGTCTTCTGTTTTATTCATTTGCACATTTCACACCAGACAAATCAACTCACTCTGGACACCACACAGGAATTATATTTCCAGACTTTTTTCATGCCTCCTTTCCCAACTGACATGAAAGTGCTTGTCACATTCAGAATTTCTAACAAACACCCCATTATTCTAATGATGCCAACAAATGCTTTGATTACTTGTCCTTAACCTGCCATCTTAGATAGATTTCAGAGAGTCTTTGAATCCCTGAAATTGTCCCCCAAATTACAGATGAATGCACATAGGAACACTTTTTTCTCGTGGCAGCATTTATGGATTTGCTAGATTCTCAAAAAAAGAACAGAAGAAAACAAAAAGTAAGAAAACGTGTTCATTTTTAAAACCATTCTTACAGCTGAGATAAACTAGATATATGCACATCCAGGTTTGTACAAAATTGTGAAAGAGTTGAAGTTTCGTTCTGTGAACTTACTATTGCTAAAGGCTCTTTATTATTTTCTGTCCTCCTACCTTATGACCCTCCCATAATAGAAAACATTAGTATCATGCATATATTCCTTACACTAATGAGTTACCTCTCTCCAGAAGTTCTTAATTTTAAGCCTTAGGGTATGTGCTCATAAATCAATTTCAGATGTAGTAAACAGAAAGTGGGAAACGTTCTTCATTGTTAGTGGAGATTTCTTAACCCTTGAAACTGCATTATGTAGTCTTCACCTAAGGCAAACTCTAGAACATTTATGTTTTCAGGTATTATTATAAATATGCATATATTATGTTTTAAATGTATTTATGTCCTTGCTCATTTCCTCAAAAGTCATACATGGTGCTTACTACAGAGTTGCTGAGTAAATGTCTGATTTCCAGGACACTGGTTGGTTTGCAGAAATTAAATCTGACGAATGCCAGTTGTTTTCTGATTTCTATTACTGACAGGATTCTCCAAGTTTTCCCCTCTCTTTCCCGTTTTGAGTTGTTTAGAAAATTCCATTCGTTGGCTTCTTCCTTTAGCCCTTTTCTAGGATTTTAACTGTTATTCAGAGTTGGAGCTGTTATTCTTGGTGGCCTTTGATTGTGAGTCAGAATATTAATAATAATAGTTCTCAAGGTACTTGAAGTACCATTCTATTTCTGACTATTTCCCCACCCACCCCGACAGGAAAATAATGGAAGTAACTTCCCTTTGTTTAAAAGATAGTCGCTGAATCTATTAGCTCCAATTTATAATTTTAAACAAATGCCAACAAATATCCATTGATAAGGGAGGGGGAGAGTTTCTAGTGTGAACTGAATCAAAAATTTCAGTGGTTATTTACAGATTTCCAGATGCTTTTCTGACTATGTCCAAGTCACAGAGTGTTATATGACAGTGGTTAAGACAGCCCACTTTCCAGCCGTGCAGAGTTCCTCTTCTTACGGAGAAAGCCATCTCTTCTGCTCCAGTAAAGATTCCTTTCAAATCCACAAATAGACATCTCACACTGACAATGTGTGGAGAAAATGAAGAAAAAAAACACACAAGGTGAAAGTAGGGGGAAAAGTTTATCTTGAAGCGTACTCAAATTGCAAGTCCCCAGCTTAAATTGATTTGCAGAAAGTGTCCTCTGATCTGTTAACGTTATTTAAAAAATAATAATAATAATAATTTAAGTAACTGTAGTAACTACTTCTTTTACAACTAACTGGGAACGGAATTGATAAGATTGATTTGGAGAACACAGACTGAGTGACCAGAAGTAGTAAAATTAAGCCCTTCAAGCTGACTCGATGTTTGGTGCATTTAAGAAGTGCATCTACTGAGACTCGTGGTTGTAAGAGGCTCCATGGATGTGGTAAGGCTCTGTGATGATTCCTGAGCCTCCTGCCTTCTTGGTTGGCATATTATCACCTGGCTCTTGGGGTTAGAACTTAACATAAACCTTGGCTGCTCCTTCCCAGGCCTCTTGGCTGATTTCTTTTCTACAACATTTATTTTTTATTGTATAAATTTAAGGCATACAACATGATATTTTGATATACATATCCATGGTGAAATGAAGTAAACAAATTAACATGTCCATCACTTTCCATATGTACCTTTTTTTGCATTAGAACACCTAAAATCTACTCTTAGCAAATTTTTAATATACAATGTAATATTAACTACAGTCCTTCTGCTGTACCTTAAACCTCTAGACTTATTCATCCTACACAACTTAACCTCTTTGACCTTGTTCTTTGCTATCTATAACTGAGAAAATAATATCTACTTTATAATATTGTTTTCACTATCAATTTAGAAAAGCACATAGGAAAGTGCTTAATACATGGTAAACAATGAGTATTAGTTACTCTTGTACTATGTCTTTTAATAGCTTTGTCACTTATCAGTAATTCACAGCCCTCTTCCCATGATAACATGTCAAGATTTGTCCTAGCTTTTAAGATAACTATTATTTTCTATTTAAATAAACCTATCTCATATTCTATTAAACATGCATACGTAGAATGCTGGTATGACACTGAGACCAGCACCATCTTGTTGTAACCACTTTGTCTTTTTACTCTGTCTTAATACCAGATAATGCAAGTAATATTTATTCTCTCATGAATTCACATAGCCAAAAACTGTTGCACACTTGCTGTTTGTTGCAATTGGTTTTCATACTGAGGCAGGAGAATAGGGTCTGGAGACAGAAAGCCTAAGGTCAACCTGCTGCTGACTTCTTAGATTTGGACTGAAAGGAAAACCCCACCTCTCCATCCCCAAGTGACAAGGGACCAGAGACACCTCCCTCTACAAAACTCCTTCTATCCTGTGTCAGAAACAGAAAATGCCTCTAATTCATCCGCCAGCCGAGCCTTCCCTTCAGCCTCTGATCGGTTGCAGGCCAATCCTTCATTCACATAGTGTGTAACCAATAGGAGGTCTCTAAAGGGTACCTCAGGGTGTTAACAAATTCTTTTAGTTCAACAAAAACCCTAAAGAACATTGCAATCAGGGCTCTTGAGCCGCTTGCTCGGGCCTGCTCCCCCTCTGTGGAGTGTACTTTCACTTCAATAAATCTGTGCTTTCGTTGTTCTGCTTTGTTCTTTTGTTGCTTTGTTTGTGCATTTTGTTCAATTCTTTGTTCAACATACCAAGAACCTGGACAACTCTCAGTCGAGACTTTCCATCTGGTAACAATATTTCAAATGTATTCAAAGAGGAGAAAAAAAGTTTATGATTGTTTTACCTATTTATTTTTCCACTGGAAATTTCCAAACAATTTACAATTGTATACAACAGGAATTACATAAAAATTATGAATTTCTATTAGGAATATTGACATTTTACACTATTGCTCAGAAGCATTCTATATCTCTCCATTCTATATATACTTTCCAATTCATTGCCATAAAGTTATCCAGAAAGAATAAAGTATACACTTCACTCTTTTCAGTCTTCTCCACATTTCTAGTTATATTCATTTTCTTATCTTAAAATTTTGTAATTGTGTTTAGTTTAGGTTAGTGTTTTGGTCACACTTTCCAGTGGTTTGTCTGTTTTCATGGCTTATTTTTCAATACATGCTTTTTAATGTTCAGATATTCTAACATATTACCCTTTTCTAATTATTTTGCTCATTAGTGAGTATTTAACCAGTGAAGGATTGGGTATATATTAATATTTTCTTCAGTTAAAAACAAATTTTAAAAGTCTATTATGAAGAAAATATATCGGAATTAAGTTTCCAGATATTCCAAACATGTGCTGTTTTAAAGAAGTGCTTAAAACAAAATGCCTCAGAAGTTTAAAATAAAAGGAATAATGAAGGTATATTTAAAAAGGTAACAGTACAGAATTTGATGCCAAATGCACTAAATAGGCCAAACAGAATAATTATATGTTCATAAAAGCATATATAGTAAAATAAATGTAAACCTGGGTGCAACAAATAGCATGGCATTAAAATATATGGAACAACGGAAAGAAAGAAAGAAATGAACAAAACAAAAGATAGGCAAGCTATTTAAATAGAGTACTTTCAGTGTGTAAGAGATTATGGAGAAAAAAAATTGTATTATTTATCCAAAAATACCCTACTTGAAATCACAAAAGAACCTCAAGAAATTCTACAAGTATATTTTTTTCATACTATACTCTAACTACAGTACAAAATACCTAGAAATCAACATTAAATGTGTAATTTTAAAACATATCTGAAGATTTAGAAACCCCTTCTGCAAACTAGTGGGTAAAAAAGGAAATTAAAATAATTACAAAGTATTTAGAAAATAATACTGTAGTTTATATGAACACAAAGTATATAGAAAAACTCATAATGAGGTAAATTCTTACCCTTAAGGATTTCATAAAGGAAGAAAGAGGTATAATAAATTAAATATGCCTTTGTGCTGAACTAGGCAATCTTCAAAATGTCTGCCATACTCATACCCTTTTGTGAGGTTAACTACCTGCTCATAGGCCCTACTGCCCACAGTGAGGCTCTGTACCCTATAACCTCCTTCCAGAGATGGCTAATTAAATGGACCAGGAGTCAGCTTGTTATCTAAGACCTACTCATTCTTAGGCTGGACAGTGACCAACAGGAATATAATATGAAAAGATGAACAGGGCCAGTGAAAATCTTCTTTAGGTATCTAAGCATCCCAAGATGCAAAACACTTCTGCTATTCTGGCCACTGGTTGATGTGGTCTCTGAATGGATTAAGAAAGAGAAAAGCTGGGTCGGGCGCGGTGGCTCACGCCTGTAATCCCAGCACTTTGGGAGGCCGAGACAGGCGGATCACGAGGTCAGGAGATCGAGACCATCCTGGCTAAGATGGTGAAACCCCATCTCTACTAAAAATATAAAAAATTAGCCGGGCGTGGTGGCGGGCACCTGTAGTCCCAGCTACTCTGGAGGCTGAGGCAGGAGGATGGCGTGAACCCGGGAGGCGGAGCTTGCAGTGAGCCGAGATCACGCCACTGCAGTCCAGCCTGGGCGAGAGTGACACTCCGTCTCAAAAAAAAAAAAGAAAGAGAAAAGCTGTTGGTCCTATTGATGCAGGATTTTTTACTCCTTAGTTCAGCTAAAACCGGGTTCTAGTCTCACGACCAGAAAAAATTAGGCACGGGGACACATTGAAGGGTGAGGAGAACGGATTTATTAAGCATAAAAGAAAGCTCTCGGCAAAGAAAGAGGGGGTCCTACTAACAGGGTCCCACCTCACAGATTGAATACCAGGCCACTGCTCACGAGCTGAAGAGGCCAGGCTCCTCCCCCTGAATAAGGCACGAATTCCTGATGGCTCCACCCCATTCCCCCAGTGCCTGTGGGCCTCCAGGCAGTTGCAGGCATGCCCAGACAAGACCCTATGCAGATTCCCTCTTCTGAACAAAAACATCTGGCATAAATACTTATAGAGCAGGTTGGAGATTCTCCAGGGACCCTTCCTTATCTGCCTAGGCATTTGTCTGCCTCTTGCCTCTATCACTATGTGTTGAGAGATAAGTGAAGAGAAATTAGAAACACAGGTTCTCCTGCTGCTGTCTTGCTCAGAAAAATTGATCCTAAGCAGTTATATGATAGCTATTTTCAACTCAGTGTTTCTATCAGTCACCATTTCTAATAGTTAGCAGAAAATTATGAGATGCCAAAGTCCTTTCCTATCTCAATACTGACCACTCATATGTTTCCTATTCAGAGAGTAAAACACATGCCATATTATCTAAGAATCTTAATATATGCCTCCCAAAGATATGCTGTTAATGCAAGTTCTGGCCCATGGAAGGAAAAAGGCTTCACAGAGGGCCTTCCCCGATCTTTAACTTGAAGTGCCATTGCTAGTTTCTGCGTTTATCTGTTTTCAACAGTACTTAGTGGAAGTTTGGAAAAAAGCATACCAAGCTACTCCACTGAAATATAAATTACTTACTTATTACTTTTTATTTCATTTATTTTCTTATTTATACAAATGCACATAATACAAAAGGAATAAAATCAAAACTTGATGACAAAATAGATGCACAAAACATAAACAAGGGGAGATGAATAGTAGAAAATGTATACTGTCCAGTTCTGCACAGTTGCTAAAGGTAAGCTGAAGGTTTGTTTGACCAAACAAAGAGGGAAATAAAATCAGTGTAAAATGTGTAATGTTTTCAAGCGATAAAATTTTTATTTGGGAGAATCTATGTTTTGCCTTATATCGACACATTTCCTAATATTCATATGTGAGAAAACACTTTCAGGTAACCTTCCCCTAGCTACAGGAGAAACACTGTATAGTATCAATGAATGGCAGGTTGAAAGAGCCTTGAGTCAAAATAACGAGCATTTTATTCTTTAACTTCCTTCTATTTACATCAGTGGCACAACTGAAAGAGCAGTTCGATAGAAACGAGTCTAAAAGGGAAGAAAAAAATAAACACATTTTAACATCTCAGAAAGGTCATTTACATTGACAAGATTTCAGTTTCTTAAGTTTAAATTGGAAATTAGTATTGTATCAATTCGCTTCAGTGGTAGTAATGACTTGAGCACATAAAGGGTAATTAATTGGCTTATGGAACCAAACTGCAGGTGGGGTCTTTCTCCATAGTTTATCTGTCTCTCTCTGCATGTAGATTTTATTCTCTGAAAGAGGCTTATGCCGCCCTGTTGGGGACATGACTGTCAACAGCTCTAAAATTACTTCATATCCACTTACTGACCTGCCCACCATGCTCACATTTGATATTACAAAATAAAATTCCAAGGAAGGATTTTGATTGGGTTGGGCCACACGATCAATCCCTAATAATTGCTAAACCATGACCAGTCCTTGACAATTGCTAAGCCAGAGAGTATGGGTCATCAAAAAATATTGGATCTTGTGAACCAGAGATGGAAAAAGAAACCAATTCTCCAATAGAAAGGATGGGATTAGCAAAGACATGGCCATTGGAAAAATCAGTGTAAGCTCTATAGCCAATTTAATTGGTGCCTAATAATGAAACATATTTCATAAGTTATGAGAATTAAATGTAGGAATGTGCTGTGTAAATAGTAAAATGAAATACAAAAGGCAAACCACTATCTCTTTCAATATGACTACTATTCCTGAATTTAAAAAAAAAAAGCTCAGAAAAATATTTCAAAGAAGAGAAGTTTTTTTGTTGTTGTTGTTCAAGAAGAAACAAAACTGCTTTTTCTACAATCCCTTGTGACTCGACAGCAAATTACCAGCTGTTAAAAGTCTGAAAATCAAGAACCTCCAGGAATGTGCTCCGGCCCACCAGGCAGGTGATTACTCAGCAGCAACTCTACTCCTAGACCAGACCACTGTCTTACTTGCAGTCCTCCCCAAAGTCTATTAATGGTGTGAAAGTAATACCAATGACATCACATGGTTAGACTCTTACTAACAAAATATTTGTATGTGTATGAGTTAGTATCCTTTGTTAATTAAATCTGTCTTTGAAAATAGTTTCCTAAGAATTCTAGGAAGAGACTGGGTTATTACCCTCCCATTTCCATGTAGCAATTTTCTCAAGGGTGCTGTGAAAGAGGAAATGTGCCAGTAAAAGTAATTTTCTAAACAATGCTCTGAGGACATCAAGGCAAGGGTGTACTTAACAAAACTGTGCCATGCCCTATAATGTAAAGCCAAAATTTTGGCCTATTTAAAGATAGTTTAATTTAAAAAAATAAAGAGCTATAGTCTTATGGAGTGCAGAAAAACACATTGAAATGTCCCTCTCTCCCCTTTGCCAACAAAAGAGCTCCAGCCTGATCGAACAATTATATTTGAAAACAGACTATTTTTTAAACTGGAGCTTTCATCTTAGTTTATCTAATGATGAAAAGTGGTATGCACAAGTAACCACAATTTGTATGCAGAAGATAAAGTCTTTTTGTAAATTACACCTATAAAATATTCTAGTTCCTTTTTTTTTCCTTTATCTTTTGGAGCAAATCAATTACCAAGACCAGACTTGCATTTAAGCAAATACAATTAGCATATATACAATTGACCTTGAACAACATGGGTTTAAACTGCTCTGGTCCATTTATTTATATGCATATTTTTCAATAAAAGCAAAGTAACTTAGGAACAGAAAACCAAATATCCTATGTCCTCACTTATAAGTGGGAGCTAGGCTATGATGACGCAAAGGCATAAGAATAATATAATGGAAATTGGGAACTTGTAGGGGAAGGTTGGGAGTCGGGGTATGGGATAAAAGTCTACATATTGGGTACAGTGTACACTGCTCAGGTGACAGGTGCGCTACAATCTCAGAGATCACCACTAAAGAACTTATCCATGTAACCAAAAACCTGTACCCCCAAAACTATTGAAAATTTTAAAAATGTTGGGCATGGTGGCTCACGCCTGTAATCCCGGCACTTTGGGAGGCCAAGCCGGGTGGATCACCTGAGGTCAGGAGTTCCAGAACAGCCTGAGCAACATGGTGAAACCCCATCTCTACTAAAAACACAAAAATTAGCTGGGTGTGGTGGCATATGCCTGTAATCCCAGCTACTTGGGAGGCTGAGGCAGGAGAATTGCTTGAACCCGGGAGGGGGTGGTTGCAGTGAGCCGAGATCGTGCCATTGTGCTCCAGCCATTGCGCTGCAGCCTGGGCAACAAGGGGAAACTATCTCAAAAATTTAAAAAAATATTTTTTTAATTAAAAATAATTACAGGGACTCTGCCTGCCTCTCCTGCTTTCCCTTCTACCTCCCCCATGTCTTTTGCTTCTACCATTCCTGAAACAAACAGCAAGATCAACCTCTCCTCTTCCTTCACGTACACAGCCTACTCAACTTGAAGACAGATAATGAAGATGAGGAGCTTTATGGTGATCCACATGATCCACTTCCACTGGATGAACAGTAAATATATGTTCTCTTCCTTATGATTTTTGTTAATAACATTTTCTTTTCTCTACATTATAAGAATACCATATACAGCACATATACAAAATATGTGTTAATTGTCTGTTTGTATTATCAGTAAGGCTTCTGATCGACAGTAGACCATTAGTGGTTAAGTTTTGGGGGAGTCAAAAATTAGCTGTGAATTTTTGACTGCATGACACCCCTGGGCCACTGTGTTGTTCAAGAGTCAACTGTGCCATTTATATGACAGTAGCAGAGACTCCCACCCTGGAGTGACTTGAAAGCAAAAGCCTTTGCCAGATTTAGGAGAAAAGTATCTATTTCACTTGTCCCTTAGGTTTAGTCTTTAGTTTTCAATGATTAATGGAATTTTTATAGAAAAGAAGAAGGAGAATATTATTTACAGTTGAGGAAATTCCATGTGTAATGGCACAGAAACTTGAGAAGGCGTATTAACACCAGGAATCCAGATGAAAATAGTAATTCTAAGAGTTCTTTATTGATAAAATGATGCCCAGGAATGACCCCTTAAGATGCCCAGCATGCCACAGCCCTCATCATGGGCTGTTCTGGGAGCAATGGTTGTAAACTGGCACCAAAGCAGAGCAATTAGTAACCCCTGGTGGAAATAGTGCCTGCTGAAGAACTAGCATAATTTGAGCCAACTTTTGCTTTCCTGTGAGGACTAGCAAAGTTCAAGACTGAACCTCATGTTCATTAAACTGGACAACTTGCTGCTGCCTATTGATAAATGTGCCATAACCTACATGGTCATTATCTTAGTCTATTTTCTGTTGCTTATGGCAGAACACCTAAAACACGGTAATTTATTAAGAAAGGAATTTGTTTTTTACAATGTGGAGGCTGAGAAGTCCAAGGTCAAGGGATCACACCTGGCAAGAGCTTTCTTGCTGGTGGGGGCTTTCTTGCTGGTGGGGACTTCCTGAAGTGTCCTGAGGCAGTGCAGGGTATCACATGGTGAGGAAGCTTAGCATGCTAACGAGCCCATTTCAGATCTCTCTTCTTATTAAGCTACCAGCTTCACTGTCTACATAATCTATTGGTCTATTAATCCATGCATGGGATTAATGCATTCATAAGGGCAGAACCCTCATGATTCAATTACCTCTTAAAGGCCCTACTTCTCAATACTGTCACATTGGGGATTACATTTTAACATGAATTTTGGAGGAGACAAACATTCAAACCATAGCACTCACAAAATCACATTCATCGGTATGAAGAAAGTTCTGAATTTCTAGCCAAAATTGTTTACAGTTGTATCTTTAAAGATTAAACTTAAAAGTTACTGGGTATTTTTTTTTTCCTTTTGTAGTTAGCACCATGAAACAGAAATGCTTGCTGAGTTAAAGGTACTGTATGTAACTTCATCCCATTAGTCATTTTAGCACCTTGCTCATCTGATGTTGGCATGGGATTCTGCTCTTCTTCCTCTTCCTCCTTCATCTGCTCCAGAATTTCAGCCAACAACCAAAGCACACTTTGGTTCTTGGCAACTCTAAGGCCCAGATGCTGAATAATTTTCAACAGTTAACTCATTACTAATTTTATTCTAATGTCAACACTTTTGAAGAAGTCTATGACAGTGAGACTTATTCATAGGATGTGATTGTCTCACTAAATTCAAATAGTTGCACCAGAAGAAACAATGTAAGGAATTTCCATCACCCTATTATGTATATATAGTAAAATTCCAACCCAGTCATTTTATTGCAAATAGGTGATTATTTCTGAAGCATGTGTGCCATGAGTACTCATATTATGCTTTCCTTCTTTGAGGAAATAAAATACTCTTTTTCTAGAACTAAAACTTCTTCAGAAGTACAACAGAAAGGCACTCATCTTTTGAGGTTAGTTTCCTCAATTGTTTATTTTCCTAACAGGGCTTATGATGCTACCTTGAATGATTAAAATGTTCTATACATCCATAATACCTTCACTTAAAGGACACTGAATTACAAGCAAATCATGTCCTGATAACAACCTCCAGAGGCAGAGTTGTATAAATAAATAATTACCACCTCTGAAAGCCAAGCTGAAGTAAAGAGAATTAGACTAGTGCTACACATTAAATTGGAGGACTCTTTTCATAATTATTGGAATTAAGATATTTTACCTAATAACCAGGATGACAAATATCCTGGTAACTGCTGGTAATTCAATGCAGCTTCTTTCCCTTTGGTTTCTGGATGCAGCCTCAGAACCCTCTGCAGCACAGCTCCCTGGGCACCTGGGCAGCCCTAGCAAGCTACTGAAGCTGGCGCAGTAACTAAAACCCATTTGCTATCCCTGCCCTGCAGTGTTCACCTCCAGAAAGAAGGATAATGCCAGTTCTTTCAGTTCTTCAGACAGTTGGCTGTGATCAAGCACTAGATGACATGTTTATTGATTAACTCTTATCCATAATGTTTATTTTTAATTGATTTGAGGGATCTGAAAACAGTTCAATTGTTGTAACTGTCAGATACAACATAAGTAATTTATGCCTCTGTGACTAAAATCAAAATAGGCTCAAGTACTCTCTTCTTCTGTTTTGACTTAAAACATTTAGTACCTTTGATGATTTCAATTGTGAGATTTAGGGGTCTCTTTCTAGTTACTCCTTTCTTTCTCTTTTATCATGGTCAACGTCCTTGAAATAATAGGGTGTTTTAAACAGGTCACTGGATGAATTCTACAAATACATGATTATGTATTTGGTTAGTTCCCTTAGTTGCATGGTACATCAGAGTAGACTCTGCCTCCCTCTTCCATGCTTAGCTCAGTTTAGTGAAATCAGTAGTTTTAATGATAGGGCTGTGAGTGAATAACTCCATACAGCTATCGCTTTAAAATCTTGGACTGCAGTATTATGAATCAGGACACAGTCTTATGGACCAGAGTACTTGGATCTGAATTGAGTCTTTGCTACTTAACAGCTGCATAAGGTTGGGCAAGTCACCTGACCTTTCTGTGTTAAATGGGGATAATAGCAATACTTATCTTGTGGGTTGTTCGGAGAATAACCTGTAATAATATGTATAACAGGCTTCAAAGTGCCTGGCACACAGAAAGCACTATATGAGGACTAGCTATCATTAGTCTGTACCTAGAAGCTGCCTAAGTACAACTATTTCGCTAGGAAAACACTGATCCTAAGGAAGAGCTGAACACAATAAGAACGTGAAAACTGAGTAGAATAAATCCACCCTACTTCCAAAACAATGAAATAACCTATTTAGTGATGGCGAGTTGAAACATTGCCATTGTTTGAAAAAAAATTGCACATCTATGTTCATATTTGATGAAGACTGAATTTGACATTAATATTTGGGAACATGTATCTTCACAGGAATTTATTGTAAACAATTTTAGCTTTTAAATCTGGTGGTAAAAAAGTTGATATTTTCCTCTTTTTAAAATGCATCATTTGGCATGTATGGAAATTATTATATATTAGCTTCACCTTTGTATATGTCCCAGTAGGTCATGGTTCTTTCAATGTAATATTCATCACATTTTTGTAAGTAAATTGTTTTCCATTTAACTTTTCAGTAAACTGAACAGTTACTGAAGTTTGTTACGGAAATTTGAGTCTGAATTTCTGATTTATGTAGCCAAGCCTCTTTTGAACACAAATTACTCTATAGTTCAAAGGAAATGCATTCTTTTAAAAAAAGAACAACATCAAGTCAGCAGGTGAAGTAATGCTATCTTTTTGAAATAAACATAACCTACAACTAAAAGAAGCATTAACATTATAATACCTGAATAAAGACATATATGCCATCCAGTCAACATTTATGAAAACTGGTTCACTACACAACTAGTTATAATTCTGTGGGAGAATTAGTGACCCTGTTTGATTTTCAAAATAGCCCTTGACCTAAATTCACTTTTTTAAACTACACGGTTTGAAAATGGGGCATTGTGAAGAAAAAGAGTTAGCATTAGAACTGCTCTCTGAAGGAAAAATGAACCACCAAAATAGTGGTATTTTTTCCATGTGAACCAATTCTTCAAAATCTAAGGTGTTTCTTGAATACCACATTTACCAGTTAAAATGAGCTCCATTTATTTTGAGAAATGTCAAACTTAAAACACACAAACATATTTTTTTTTTGTTCTGGCCGTCTAAGATATAAATGGATGGACAAATAGATAATTTAAAAACAAGCTATAATACTATAATATGGGGATTAAATTTAGTTTGCGTTATTTGAATTCTTCTAGACACAAAGTTTTTATGCACAATTAGAAATATTTACATTGTCCTAATTAACATGCAATTTGGCTTCATGAATCTTCTGAGAGACTACTGGGAGAAAATTACAAATCTGGGGTTTTAATTTCAAGATCCTTTTTAAGTAATAAGAAATTAATGTTCATTTATATTACCTTATTAAATCAGTCATCAATATGATTATCCCATAATTTCTCTGAATTAAAAATCTTTAAAAGCAGATGGTCTTTATCAGAAATAGAGGTAGTTTTTAGTTATACAATCTATTAGTTATGCAAAAATACATGTATTTCCATTGAACAGAAATATATTATATAAAAGCAAAAAATCTTAATTCCAGTGGGGCATTTTTTGATTTGTGGGCTTATACTTAATGGGTTAATTTAATTTGAGACTTTTCCAGTAACACATTAAAGGAAATTTGGGTTCACTCATTTGACAGCCACTATTAAGGTTATTGTTTTCAAGTTTGAGGTAGGAAAACAGTCTAGGAGGACAACCAATTATTTTCAAAATAAAAGTGCCTCATTAAGTAATTATAAGAAAAGAATTAAGTACAAAGTAGATTTTTACAAACATCTATGTAAAGAAAAACACCAAATACTTAGGGAATTCTGACAAACCAAAAAGTCAAATCACTGATAAACTGCTGTTAGAATTTTCATACTTAAAATTAAGTTTCAAAGGTTTTGTATTTATTCCAATTTGGGTAAAATAAGGTAATTCTTTCACTGCAGTCTTAAAGTGAATTAACTGACAAATTCCTGGTCATAGCCAAGTGTCTTTGTCCTTATTTTTCAAAACCTAGAGTTAATTGGGTGCCTTTTTCCCTGCAAACCTATCCTACACCAGAACATTTACGTGGAAGCCAGCTTCTTCCAATTTGACTTCCTCTTCGAGTCCTGTCAAATCACACTGTTGCTAAGATGCAACTATTTTTGTTATATCATGCTCAACAACTTGTCTTCTTTCCTACCTTGCCCAGTCTTTTTAGATTGTATTAAGTCAGACCATTAAACATTTAAAATATCAAAAGTTCTGCCCATGCTAGCTCACTACTCCTGACTTGGATTTATTGGGTCTTAATATAAATAATATCTGCAAAAACAATGCTACATTCTAAGAACTCAAAAAAATTCTCCAGGGTCCTCATCTCTTTCTCTTCAAAAGCCCCCTGTGCTAAATGACAATCTTTGTTTCTCTGCTTGCTTGATTCTCTATCCACCTGTACATCCTTCTGTCTCTACTCTCCCTCATTCCTGCTTCCATAGGTACCTCATATTACCAATTTCTGAGTTTAGGGGATAGAGGGAGAATGGGCAATGGAATTCAAATTGTTTCTTGACCTTCATCATAGTGAACTTGGAAGTCAGTTTTCTTGGTATTGCTGAATCAACGAATGCTTCTGAGGGGCTTTCCGGCTTCACATATTTCTGCTGTATTTTTCTCCTCTCCCATTGTGTAGGTTTTCTGGGGCTGCCTCAACAAGGTACTACAAAGAAGATGGCTTTTTTTTCTTTTTTTTTTTTTTTTTTTGTGAGACTGAGTTTCACTCTTGTTGCCCAGGCTGGAATGCAGAGGCGTGATCTTGGCTTACTGTAACCTCCACCTCCTGGGTTCAAGCGATTCTCCTGCCTCAGCCTCCCAAGTAGCTAGGATTACAGGTGCCCGTCACTATGCCTGGCTAATTTTTTGTATTTTTAGTAGACATGGGTTTTCACCATGTTGGCCAGGCTAGTGTTGAACTCCTGACCTCAGGTGATCCACCCACCTTGGCCTCCCCAAGTGCTGAGATTACAGGCATGAGCCACTGCATCTGGCCAAAGGTGGCTTAAATCACCATAAATTTATTCTCTCTCAGTTCTACAGGCCAGAACTCTGAGATCAAGTTGCTGGCAGGGCCAGGCTCCCATCAAAACCTCTAAGGGAGTGTCCCACCTTGCCTCTTCCAGCTTCTGGTAGCTCCAGGCTTTCCTCAGCTTGTGGATGCATCACTCCAATCTCTGCCTCTGTCTTCACAGGGTGTTCTCCCTGTGTGTTTATGTTTTCACATGGCTGTCTTCCCTCTATGTCTCTGTCTTCTCACAAGGAGACCAGTCAAATCAGATTAAAGGCTCACCCTATTATACAGTATCACCTCATCTTAACTGGTTACATCTTCCCTGACCCTATTTCTAAATTAGGTCACATCCTGAGGTCCTGGGATTTAAGACTTCAACATATCTTTTTGGAGGGATATGATTCAACCTGTAACACTCATCCTTATTTGTTTACGCTTTTTTAAAAAAGGAAACCAATTTTTTACTCCAGGTCAAGTTTAGTTTCAGGAGAAAGCAAGAGCCTTATATGACCCAGAAATTTTATATGACCTCTTGATGATTTGGTTGAATAATAACAGTGCTCTCGGGAACTCTGAGCTCATGATAAAATTTTTTTTTTTTTTTTTTTTGAGGCAGAGTCTCACGCTGTTGCCCTGGCTGGAGTGCAGTGGCATGAACTTGGCTCACTGCAACCTCTGCCTCCTGAGCTCAAGTGATCCTCCCACCTCACCCTCCCAAGTAGCTGGGACTATAGGCATGTACCACCACACCTGGCTAATTTTGCAATCTTTGTAGAGATGGGGTTTTGCCATGTTGCTCAGGCTTGTCTTGAACTCCTGAGCTCAAGCAATTCACCTGCCTCAACCTCCCAAATTGCTGGGATTACAGGTGTGAGCCACTATGCCCAGCCAAAACTTACCATTTTTTATGGAATTTAGGTCTCCTAAATTTCTGTTTCTGTTCTTCCCTACTTCTACTCATAGCATCAGCCCTCAAGACATTGCTAGGTATACCTAATTGTTATGGGCAATTAGATTCTGTTTAATTGATGTTGATCTGTGCTCATACAGCACTGAAATACCAATTAACATTACATAGAATGATAAAGTATTTTACAAATATATTTTATCACTACTTTTATCAAAACCAGTATTTATGATAACCATAATGTAGCACAGAGTTCTAGCTTTTACAGGAAAGATCTTTTTTGTAACAATGTAATAAAAATTTCACTCAGCAAATTACTGACTTAAATACTATTCTTATTATATGCTCCTCTCAGTCTAGTTATGAGGACTGTTCTTTAAGTGATATATAATAGAGTCATGGGACAGGTAATAAAGTTAAAGTGCTCACATTATGAAGAGGATTTCATATCAAAGATAGGTTATGGAAGATATATTTAAGCACATCATAAATATAAATGCTACTAATGATGGTACACCTCCTCAATGGCTTTATTCCAAAATGTATCCTCATATTAATCAAACACATTTTGTCATCTGGACACTGATTATTACTAAGGGACTAGTATTTCAAAATAAGATCCCACCATGGTCATTATTGCACATCGTATATAGAGGGCCCTTAAAGTGAATTTACTCAGGGAGGTAGGTTTATAGTTAGGCAACAGACTTACAGATGACTCATCACCTACTGCTTAGGTGGCATTTGGAAAGTTACTTTATATTTGTGAAGACTAAATACTTTAAACTAGAAAATCTAGAAGAAATGAATAAATTCCTGGACACGTACACCCTCCCACATCCACCATATACACCCTGAACCAGGAAGAAGTTGAATCTCTGAATAAACCAATAACAAGTTCTGAAACTGAGGCAGTAATAAATAGCCTACCAACCAAACAAAGTCTAGGACAAGACAGATTTACAGCTGAATTCTACTGGTGGTACAAAGAGGAGCTGGTACCATTTCTTCTGAAACTACTACAAACAATTGAAAAGGAGGGACTTCTTCCTAACTTTGTTTACGAGGCCAGCATTATCCTGTTACCAAAACCTGGCTGTGATAGAACAAAAAAAGAAAACTTTAGGCCAATATCCCTGATGAACATTGATACAAAAATCCTCAATAAGTTACTGGCAAACCAAATCCAGCAGCACATCAAAAAGCTTATCCACCATGATCAAGTTGGTTTTATCCCTGGGATGCAAGGCTGGTTCAACATATGTAAATCAGTAAACATAATTAATCACATAAACAGAACTAAAAACAAAAACCACATGATTATCTCAATAGACGTAGAAAAGGCCTTCAATAAAATTCAACATCCCTTCATGTTAAAAACTCTCAATAAACTAGGTATTGATGGAACATACCTCAAAATAATAAGAGCTATTTATGACAAACCCACAGCCAATATCATACTGAATGGACAAAAGCTGGAAGCATTCCCCTTGAAAACTGGGACAAGACAAGAATGCCCTCTCTCATCACTCCTGTTCAACACAGCATTGGATGTTCTGGCCACGGCAATCAGGCAAGAGAAAGAAATAAAGCGTATTCAAATAGGAAGAGAGGAAGTCAAACTGTCCTTGTTTGTAGATAACATGATCCTACATCTAGAAAACTCCATCATCTCACCCCAAAAACTTCTTAAGCTGATAAGCAGCTTCAGCAAAGACTCAGGACACAAAATCAGTGTGCAAAAATTACAACCATCCTATACACCAACAGTAGACACACAGCGAGACAAATCATGAATGAACTCCCATCACAATTGGTACAAAGAGAATAAAATACCTAGGAATACAGCTAACAAGGAACATGAAGGACCTCTTCAAGGAAAACTACAGACCACTTATCAAGGAAATCAAAAAGGACATAAACAAATGGAAAAACATTCTATGCTCATGGATAGGAAGAATCAATATTGTGAAAATGGCCATACTGTCCAAAGTAATTTATAGATATAATGCTATTTCCATTAAACTACCATTGATGTTCGTCACAGAATTAGAAAAAAACTACCTTAAAATTCATATGGAACCAAAAAAAGAGCCTGTATAGCCAAGACAACCCTAAGCAAAAAGAACAAAGCTGGCACCATCACACTACCTGACTTCAAACCATACTACAAGGCTACAGTAACAAAAACAGCATGGTACTGGTACAAAAACAGACACACAGGTCAATGGAACAGAATAGAGAACTCAGAAACAAGACCACACATCTACAACTATCTGATCTTCAACAAATCTGACAAAAACAAGCAATGGGGAAAGAATTCCCTGTTAATAAATGGTGCTGGGAAAACTGGCTAGCCATATGCAGAAAACTGAAACTGGACCCCTTCCTTACACCTTATACAAAAATCAACTCTAGATGGATTAAAGACTTAGATACAAAACTCAAAACTATAAAAACCCTAGAAGAAAATCTAGGCAATACCATTCAGGACATAGGCACAGGCAAAGATTTCATGACAAAAACGTCAAAAGCAATCACAACAAAAGCAAAAATTGACAAATGGGATCTAATTAAACTAAAGAGCTCCTGTACAGCAAAATAAACTATTATCAGCATGAAAAGACAACCTACAGAATGGGAGAAAATTTTTGTAATCTATCCATCTGACAAAGGTCTAATATCCGGAATCCACAAGGAATTTAAATTTACAAGAAAAACCAAATAACTTCATTAAAAAGTGGGCAAAGGACATGAACAGGCACTTCTCAAAAGAAGACATTTATACGGCCAATAAACATGAAAAAAAAGCTCAACATCACTGATCATTAGAGAAATGCAAATCAAAACCACAATGAGATACCATCTCACGCCAGTCAGAATGGTGATTATTAAAAAGTCAAGAAACAACAGATGCCAGTGAGGCTGTGGAGAAATAGGAACGCGTTTACACTGTTTGTGTGAATGTAAATTGGTTCAACCATTGTGGAAGACAGTGTGGCAATTCCTCTAAGAGGGAACCAGAAATACTATCTGACCCAGCAATCTCATTATTGGTTATATACCCAAAACTGGCTAGCACATTGCCTACATGAAGTAGATGTCCCTTAAGAGCTGTTATTTTATACAGCATTCAGCTAAGTGCAAGGCACAGTTCTAAGCACTGTTCTAAATATTTTACATTTATTTTCTTCTTTAACCTCTTTATCACATATGTTTACATTTAAAACAGTGACCAAACTGATCTACACTATATGTATCATTTTGGGAAATGTATAAACTTGTTCGATATATGTCAAGAAAGTAATATTAAATAGATTATTTAGTCTAACTACTCCTTGGAAATATTTTTACCAAAGTGTTCTGTATACACAGTCATCAGTCTTATTTTAAGGGATTTCAGAAAGGTGATTTTTTTTAAGTAATGTCCTATAGATTAATGGTTCCCCACCTTTAGCATGCATCAGAATCATCTGTAGGGCTGGTTAAAACACAAGTCCTCACCTGCCCCACCAGAGTTTTGGATTCAATCGGTCTGGACTGGGGCTTGAGAATTTTCATTTTCAATAATTTCTCACAACACATTTCCAGATGAAGGTGGACTAATAACAGCACTTTGAGAATCGTTGCTATAGGTCAGATTGGTGAGAGGCAAGAAATTCTTTCTTATTTCTAAATCCAAAATCTATCTCATTCATGGTCTAAATATATGCCTAACAAGAGATAATGCATTTGCATTACTCTTGCCTAGATGCTAATTTCTTTTGAAATATTGAAACTAAAACTGGTACGAGTATTGAGGAAAGCCTGAAACTCAGATGACAACTGTCATTCCGTAAGTATGGAACTTCTTGATGCAGATTCACTTATAAATAGCCCCATGGCAGGAATTTTGAACATCAGGGGAAGCAAGAAGCCCTTTGCAGTCAAGAGGAAACAACCCTGCTTTGTTCTGGACAGACAGTACACTCCTTCAAGAACACTATCCTAAAACATGAGAGTATTTATTTTTAACTGATATTGGCTTCTCCAGTTGGATCACCTCAGGTTCATCCTCTAACTTAAAGCCATACAAATCCCGTTATGTATCTACTTTTAAATATTGTTCTCCAGGTGCAGCCATAAAAAAGGATGAATTCATGTCCTTTGCAGGGACATGGATGAAGCTGGAAACCATCATTCTTAGCAAACTATCACAAGGACAGAAAACCAAACACTACACGTTCTCACTCATAGGTGGGAACTGACCAATGAGATCACTTGGACACAGGGCGGGGAACATCACACACCAGGGCCTGTTGGGGGGTGAGGGGCTGGCGGAAGGATAGCATTAGGAGAAATACCTAATGTAAATAACTAGTCGATGGGTGCAGCAAACCAACATGGCACATATATACCTATGTATCAAACCTGCACATTGTGCATGTGTACCCTAGAACTTAAAGTATAATAAAATAGTTCTCAATAACATATGGATGACTTTCTTGTAAAGAACAGGTTTTTCACTGGCGTCAAATTTCAAAGCCTTTTCAAAGGATTTCTGACTCCAAAGTTGACAGTAATGAGGTAAGAAGTGGGGCACAGAATTTGTATCTGCCAAGAAGTCAAGCATTCAGCTTAGTGCTGTTACTGGGAGGGGCAGCAGCCACACAACTGTATCTATGAAGCAAATGTTCTGTTCTGAAAAACTGTTATTTTTCAGAAGGTTGGAATAGGATGAAAATTCACAAGATTCTCCAAAGTGCAAAACACAAAAGTTTCTTTTCTTTATTGTCCATACATTCACAATGTTGCTGAATACTTTTTTCTCTGATGGCAGGCAGGTTTGGCAGGATGATTTAAACTTTCTAACTAAAGGGGGACTTCACTTTTGGACAAAAATGGAGCCTGGTCAAAGTGTAATCTTGGTCCAAAGCTCTTTTTTTTTTTTTTCTCAAGGGGTCTTCCATTCCTGCTTCCCTTCCAAGATAGTGTCTGGGTACAGGGAAATACATGAAATTCTCATGGAATTGGATAGTCAGAGGTTCTAATGCCATCTGTCGAATTAATGTATTGTCTCGTTTGCCTCTGGGCATCTGCTGAATTGGCCATGGCTGATATCAGCTGTGAATTTCTTCCTTAGCCTGGGCCAATCATATAAATGCCTCCAAGGACATCGCCCAATTCCTTACTATTGATCAGTCTTCCCCTTCCTCTCATGGACACTGCAGATTTCCTTACACATAGCCACAACTTTGCTCTGTGGGGGCACCCTAAAGCCATCAGCTTAATTTTATCCTTACTGGTTTTCTATAACCCCCACAGGCAACAGAGGAATTTGTGGAATCCTGACAGTTCACGTGGGAGCTGAGATTTGTGCAGGGACATTCTCTCAGGCCCTCTGTCTAAACACACCACAACACCGTCTCCTCCATCTGCAAGTGCTCTGTGTTGAATACTGTAGCAGGGACTCCCTGCATGGTAATCTCCTCCTTGAGTTCAGTAAGTCCTCCCCTGGAGCTCCTTTCTTCTCACTGCTCACACCCAAGGCAAGGCAGGGAGGACTCGGGCTAGAGAGGAGCCTGCTGCTCATCTGAGGGAGCAGGAAGAAAGGTCATTCCATTCTCCTGGACTCTGAGCCCTTCCTTGCCTTCTCCACACTCCTCACTTTCTTCAATTACAGGGACTCTGTTTTTAACCTGGGCATACGTTGAGTTCTTACTTCCTATGGCTTAAAATCTCAGTTTAGACCACAAGTTTTGTTCTTAATATGTTTAAAAAAACAAAAAAATGGTTTTAAATTTTAAGAAAAGTGGCCTTCTGACATAAAACTTTCAGAGCTATTACCTGTCTATGGGCTACAAGATTCTATTTTGACAGTCAAAGGTTGAAATCGACACTTACTTTTGTCTTATTATTATAATTCATATTCTTCTGAGATAATAAATACCTGTCATTGAAAAGAAAAAGGTCAAATTCAAGCAAGTATGAAACAGAAAAGCACGTGTGCACGTGTGCGAGCGCACACACACAGACACACACACACACAATTCTTTATTGAACTTACACTGCTTCAGGAATTTTAAATTAGAAAACAATAAGGATCAGGTAAACATTCTGGGTAAGAGCACCATCATCTAAAGACTGCCTTTAGCCCTTTAGAGTCAGATGTTTGATCATGTTAGTTCACCCAAAGGCATCCACAGCTAATACATTAGTTTCCACAGTTTAAACTCATAAAAAGCTAATTTTGAAACTATAAAGCTAATAATATAATTTGTAATGTGGTATGTATTTTCTTTGTTACCCAACAACTGCAATCTTATGAGGCAGACTATACAAAGACTGAAACTGTGCAAGCAGACATTTTTTTAATTCACTTGCAACAAAATCTGATATTTCTAACTTTTGATTTAGAATTACTTGAACATTGTAAATGTGTACACAATACATGACTAGCATTAAAATTCAAATAACACTGAGTAGTTATAACTATATAGTTATATCCTTAAATATTGTTGTCTATAGATCATGAGATTTAATTGGGTGTCAGACCTTTTCTATTTCATTCATACAAATTAAAATCACTATCAAGAAATCTGATACTCTATTATCTTATCTTTATTTTCTTTATTTGGTATTAAACACTTCATGCTGTGGATATTCATCACGATAATGTAGAGAGAAAAAATACCTTAAACTATGCATAATTTGTTAATTGTAAATCTGGACTAGAACTTAAGGTTTCTGATACCACTCTGATATTCTTCATTACCTTCACATTTTTAATTGAGTAAATTTGTTAAGAAAAGGAGAAAAGGCAAGTGTCTCTACTCATATTCCTTCTATTCAACATTGTACTAGAGATGCTATCCATTATAAGACAAGAAAACAAGGCACAAAAATTAGAGAGAAATAAAACAGTTTTTAGTAACAGACAACTTGATGCTCTAAATAGAAAATCCCAAATATGCTACAAAAAATATTAAGTAGGACTAACATGTGAGTTTAGCAAGATACAATAAAGGGTAACATGCAAAAATCAAATGTTTTCTATATAGTACAAATGCACAATTAAAAATTTTAAAACAACGCCATTTACAATAGGACAGTAAAACAAGAAATTCTTAGGTATAGTCTAGTAAAATAATTCTAAGATCCATATGCTGAAGGTATAAAAATTGATGGGAAAAATTAATACAAACTAAATGAATGGGAGTTATATCATGTTCATAGACTGAAATAATATTGCTAAGGTATTAATTCTCTGTAAGTTGATAAAGAGATTCAACGCAATTCCAATCAAAATCCTGATATTCTTTTTTGTACAAATTGAAAAACTGACCCTAAATTTATATGAGGAAAAATTTGGAAAGAAGAAAAAAGCTGTAGAACTTGTGGTACATGATTTTAAACTATTAAGCTATAATGGAAAAGATACTATTCATGTAAAATAGGAACAAGGAAGAAAGTCCGGAAATGGACCTATAGATAGATAGATAGATAGATATTGTCAACCAATTTTCAACAAACATGTCATAGTAGGTCACTGGAAGAAAGAATAGTCTTTTCAGCAAATGGTGCTTTTAGGTATGGACATCCACATACAAAAAAAAAAAGAAAGCTCACTTATATATTATACCATAAGCATAAAACAACTCAAAATGGATCACAGACTTAAATGTGAAATTATACATCTTTTGTGAGAAAACATAAGAGAAAAATTCTTATGACATTGGAATAGCAAAAACTTCTTAGAATCAAAAAAGCATGTGCCATTAAAAAAAAAAACTTGATAAATTGGACTTAATAATAAAATTTTATGCTTTTGAATAAATGATATTAAGAAAATTAAAAGATAAGCCACAGACTGGGAGAAAATATTTGCAAAACACATATCTGATAAAGAGCTTCTATCATATATATATATATATATATTTAAAAACTCTTACAACTCAATATTTTATTAAAGTCAACTCAATTATATATATGTACATACATATATTTAAATTTTATTGTAACTCACAATTCATAGTTGTCAATTATAATTTTTTAAAAGTTTAGAAAAATGGGCTAAGAAATTTAAATAAATACTTCAACAAAGTTGAAAGCAAAATGGCAAATAAGCATATGAAAATGTCAACGTATTTGTTATTAGGAAAATGCAAACCAAAACCACAGGGGCAAACTAGATCTCTAAAATCAACGATATCACTAAATACCTACTAGAACAGCAAAATTAAAAAACCAAAAAACTGGCAATAGCAAGTGCTGGCGAGGATGAGGAGCAATTAGAAATCTCATATTTTACTAATGAGCGTGCAAAATGGCATACCTACTTTGGAAAAGAGTGTGGGGCATTCTTATAGCATTAAATATATACACATGGCACAACCCAGCAGTTTCACTCCTAAGTATTTATTCAAGATAAACAAAAATGTATGTCCACACGAATTTCTGTACATGGAAGTTTACAGCAGCTTTATTCATGGTTTCCAAAAATTGGAAAAAGCTTAAATGCCCAAGAATCAGTGAATATATAAATTGTGGTATATGATACAATGGAACACTACTTTGCAATACAAACTACTTAATACCTGCAACAAATAAATTAGGCTTAAAGGCATTAAGCTAAGTGCAAGAACTCAGACACAAAGGGCTGCATACTTTTGTGATCCATTTATATGTCATTCTGCAAAAGGCAAAACTGAGGATACAGAAATCAGTTGCTAGAGGTGAAAGGAGGAAGTGGAGGGTGTCAGCCAGAAAGGGGCACTAGAAACTTTGCGGGGTGATGAAAATAATCTATATCATGGTTGTCATGGTGGTTACACAAATTGTATTCATTTGCTGAAAAATAACAAACTTCACACCTAAAAAAAGGATAAATTTTACTATAACCCAAGTATACATCAATAAAACCAACTGAAAAACCATTAAAGTAACTACATGTTTTTACACTAGGCATTGTCACTTAATCATTTGAAGATGGTGTATAATACCTGAGGAGTTAGGTACATGTGAACCAAGAAATAGGTAACATGGATTCAAGATTTCACCTTCTTCTCACTAATCCACCTCTTACCAGGTGGCATTCCAGATTTCCACTTGCTGTCCCTGGAGAAAATTAATGGCATCTACCTAACTCCTTTCTAACTCAGTAACAAGCATTAACAGCATCAGTCACTTCGAGTACTCATTTCTCTCAGGAGAAAATACAGCAACCCCACAGCAGCCAAAGAGCAGCATGAATCTGAGATAATGATGAGAGAGGAAAAAACAGAAATGAGGAATGATCGAAAGTAAAATAAAAGCCGAAAACAAAGGAGTAGGGCTAACAATGTGGCACTTTAAATGTAAGGCTACAGATCATGTTTCTTTTCCCAGATTATCCCTGTATCTTCTTTTCCTGTCGTAGATTCAGATGTGATTTGCAGCTCATTATTTTCAGGTGACGGAAATAGGGTCATGGTTTTTGAGAAAAGTTAATAAGAAAGCATTAAAAAGTCTGTAAATACAGAGGTTGCAAACGTTTTATGGTCACCTCACAATCAATAGGCATGTGTTTCTTTACTCCCTGAACACTACTATGAACATTCTGCAAGTTCATAGCATAACAAAGCAGAATAGAATATGGACCTGGATGCTTGATTCACAACAAATGAAATGCAGGAAATATGACTAAGAATTAAATGTAGTTCTCATGCTTATTACGTTAAAGAAACACGCCTTTATTTAGTCGTTCTACTTTATATAAATATACTTCACAGGAGATCCATTTTCTACCTACCTATGAAAAAATAACAATGAATAGACTCTGACATCCATGGAAAGTATGAGGCAAATATGGTGCCCCAAGCATGAAAAATATGAACTTTGGTAAATCCAGTTCTCCCATTATATTAAATGTGCATAAAAATAAAGATGGCCTCTCTTATAGACAGGGTAGATGTGTATTCAATAGGCAAGTTTGGGGACTCTAGAAATACATTGTTGCCACCTCATTTTGTTTTCCTGCTGACAAAACATCATCTTTAAAGGTCCATGCAGGGACATTATGCCCAGCTTATTAAGTGCCATAATGAACAACTCTAAAGGCAGTTTTTATATTGATTGCTATTGTAGATTGTATATTTATTATGACAATTTCCTGGCAGGTGATGGCACACTGTCTGAAAGTCAGAACAGAGAGGCTTTTTCTAATGGGTAACAAAGGGACATTTAATCTAGTGAGCAGTGGCCTGGCTTTGATAGCTTTGTAAGCTCATTAAAATGCAAAATATCGAGATGTGACTTCCAGAATGGCAATGTGAGGATCCCCATGGCCCTTTCTCCAGGGAACGACCATGATTGGTAAAAACTGTAAAAGTACATTAATTAAATAAAACATGAAAACTCTCTGAAAATTGTTGAGGGCATTCAGCAAATGGAGAAACAATTATTTAAGAAAACCTACTCAATTTTGGTAAGAACAGTAAGAGTCTGTCGTAGTTGAGCCGTGACCTAATCCCCACCCCACTCCATATCACCATGATGGAAACTCAACTCTTAGAAGGTGCAGCCAAGAACACAGAGTTCCCTCCCTCCACTCTATCCCTTGCTCCCTACCTGTGAAAAATAGCTCTAAATAAACTCTGACATTCAAGGACAGTATGAGGAAAATACAGTGCCTCAAGCATGGTAAATTATGCGCTTAACTATGGTAAATCCAGTTCTCCCATTATATTAAAAGTGCATAATAAATATGGCCTTTGTTGGTTCTTTAGTGCTCCCAGGATAGGATTACAGTTTCTTCATGGGAAGGACAGTAAACCAGCATTTTTTGTACCTCCAGCTCCATGTTGCAGAAGCTCTATTTCAGGCAAACCATTTGAGAGGTCTGGAACTCCATTCCTACACCCATCCTCATTTCAATGGCAGAAGCTCTATCCAGGCATGACAGACCAAGAATACTGAACCCCAATCACCCTCTCTCCTGTTAACTCATAAAGTAGAGGCTTTCTACTGGGTGAACCAAGCTGGGAAGAACAGAGGATATCACCCCTGCCCAGAACCCCACTCATACAATAAGAGTGTCATGGAGTCACTCCAAGAGAAGTGTGCTACTGTCCCTAAAGCAAGCTCCAGAATAGTGAAACCATTTTTTTCTAAAGAAAGAGGCAACCTGTAAGAACAGAGACCTCTGCAGTTCTCCCCGAGGGCACTGATTTTGTTTAGAACAGAGTGTGGGGAAGTTCAAATGAAAGGATGCTGTCTAAAACAAAGGAGATTTTGCTGGTGAGCAATTAAGAGGAAGGTGGTAGCTTTATCAGAGCAACCAACAGGCTAAACTGTAGAACAGCTTGTGATTCAACTGAGAGAATCAGGGAAAGAAACAGCTAAGAATAGACCTCTGGGGTCATAACAGGCCTCAAACACTAGCCTCAAAATCTAATCCTGCAGAGAATCCCATATTTAATTAGATCAGACTGTGCAGCAATATATGTCCCAATGCATTATCAAAAATAATAGAGCAATCAGCAGGTATTACTTGAGGCTAAGAGCTGAGTGTGATAACAAGAGAGGTAGACAATAGAGAGATGAAGAAAAGAGAAAGATGAAGAGTGCTTTTCTAAAACTGTTGTCATTCTATGGTGACTGTTAATATGCCCAAGGCTGTGCCCAATGTGGAGTTAACACAAGGAGACTATACGTTGCTATGGAAGTAGACTTCATTAAAATAGTACAACCATGTCACTAAAGAAATAAGCATGCAATAAAAAAAACCCTGTAGGTACATGGGTGATGAGATTATGATTCAGAGTTGCTACAATGTATTATCTAAAATGTCCAGATTTAACAAAATTACAAGAAATGAAAAGCAAATGTGATCCATCCATAGGGAAAAAGAGTAGGCAATAGAAATTCCCTCTGAGAGCCTAGATGTTAGGTTTAGCAGGCAAATACTTCAAATTTGTTATAAATATAAATGAAGAAAATGATGTTTAAAGAGGTAAAGAAAGATATGGTGGCAGTGTCATCAAATAGAGAATAGTAATACATAAATTAATAAAAAGAACTGAGTAAAAATCTGGAAGTTAAAAGCTACAAGAAACAAAATGAAAAATTCACTAGAGGGGATCAACAGATCTGAAGTGCCAGAAAAAAAAATCAGTAAATTATAAGATGCATTGATGGAGATCATGAAATCTGAAGATTGACTCTTTTCAGTTACTCAAATCAGTAATGAATAAAAAGAATGTAGGTAATGAAATTTAATGACAAAATATGTTCATGGATCATGCCTATAATCCCAGCACTTTGGGAGGCAGGAGGATTTCTTTTTTTTTTTTTTTTTTTTTTTTTAATGTTTTTTTTTTTAATTATACTTTAAGTTTTAGGGTACATGTGCACATTGTGCAGGTTAGTTACATATGTATACATGTGCCATGCTGGTGCGCTGCACCCACTAACGTGTCATCTAGCATTAGGTATATCTCCCAATGCTATCCCTCCCCTCTCCCCCGACCCCACCACAGTCCCCAGAGTGTGATATTCCCCTTCCTGTGTCCATGTGATCTCATTGTTCAATTCCCACCTATGAGTGAGAATATGCGGTGTTTGGTTTTTTGTTCTTGTGATAGTTTACTGAGAATGATGGTTTCCAATTTCATCCATGTCCCTACAAAGGACATGAACTCATCATTTTTTATGGCTGCATAGTATTCCATGGTGTATATGTGCCACATTTTCTTAATCCAGTCTATCATTGTTGGACATTTGGGTTGGTTCCAAGTCTTTGCTATTGTGAATAATGCCGCAATAAACATACGTGTGCATGTGTCTTTATAGCAGCATGATTTATAGTCATTTGGGTATATACCCAGTAATGGGATGGCTGGGTCAAATGGTATTTCTAGTTCTAGATCCCTGAGGAATCGCCACACTGACTTCCACAATGGTTGAACTAGTTTACAGTCCCACCAACAGTGTAAAAGTGTTCCTATTTCTCCACATCCTCTCCAGCACCTGTTGTTTCCTGACTTTTTAATGATTGCCATTCTAACTGGTGTGAGATGATATCTCATAGTGGTTTTGATTTGCATTTCTCTGATGGCCAGTGATGATGAGCATTTTTTCATGTGTTTTTTGGCTGCATAAATGTCTTCTTTTGAGAAGTGTCTGTTCATATCCTTCACCCACTTTTTGAAGGGGTTGTTTGTTTTTTTCTTGTAAATTTGTTTGAGTTCATTGTAGATTCTGGATATTAGCCCTTTGTCAGATGAGTAGGTTGCGAAAATTTTCTCCCATGTTGTAGGTTGCCTGTTCACTCTGATGGTAGTTTCTTTTGCTGTGCAGAAGCTCTTTAGTTTAATTAGATCCCATTTGCCAATTTTGGCTTTTGTTGCCATTGCTTTTGGTGTTTTGGACATGAAGTCCTTGCCCACGCCTATGTCCTGAATGGTAATGCCTAGGTTTTCTTCTAGGGTTTTTATGGTTTTAGGTCTAACGTTTAAATCTTTAATCCATCTTGAATTGATTTTTGTATAAGGTGTAAGGAAGGGATCCAGTTTCAGCTTTCTACATATGGCTAGCCAGTTTTCCCAGCACCATTTATTAAATAGGCAATCCTTTCCCCATTGCTTGTTTTTCTCAGGTTTGTCAAAGATCAGATAGTTGTAGATATGTGGCATTATTTCTGAGGGCTCTGTTCTGTTCCATTGATCTATATCTCTGTTTTGGTACCAGTACCATGCTGTTTTGGTTACTGTAGCCTTGTAGTATAGTTTGAAGTCAGGTAGTGTGATGCCTCCAGCTTTGTTCTTTTGGCTTAGGATTGACTTGGCAATGCGGGCTCTTTTTTGGTTCCATATGAACTTTAACGTAGTTTTTTCCAATTCTGTGAAGAAAGTCATTGGTAGCTTGATGGGGATGGCATTGAATCTGTAAATTACCTTGGGCAGTATGGCCATTTTCACGATGTTGATTCTTCCTACCCATGAGCATGGAATGTTCTTCCATTTGTTTGTGTCCTCTTTTATTTCCTTGAGCAGTGGTTTGTAGTTCTCCTTGAAGAGGTCCTTCACATCCCTTGTAAGTTGGATTCCTAGGTATTTTATTCTCTTTGAAGCAATTGTGAATGGGAGTTCACTCATGATTTGGCTCTCTGTTTGTCTGTTGTTGGTGTATAAGAATGCTTGTGATTTTTGTACATTGATTTTGTATCCTGAGACTTTGCTGAAGTTGCTTATCAGCTTAAGGAGATTTTGGGCTGAGACGATGGGGTTTTCTAGATAAACAGTCATGTCGTCTGCAAACAGGGACAATTTGACTTCCTCTTTTCCTAATTGAATACCCTTTATTTCCTTCTCCTGCCTGATTGCCCCGGCCAGAACTTCCAACACTATGTTGAATAGGAGTGGTGAGAGAGGGCATCCCTGTCTTGTGCCAGTTTTCAAAGGGAATGCTTCCAGTTTTTGCCCATTCAGTATGATATTGGCTGTGGGTTTGTCATAGATAGCTCTTATTATTTTGAAATACGTCCCATCAATACCTAATTTATTGAGAGTTTTTAGCATGAAGGGTTGTTGAATTTTGTCAAAGGCTTTTTCTGCATCTATTGAGATAATCATGTGGTTTTTGTCTTTGGCTCTGTTTATATGCTGGATTACATTTATTGATTTGCGTATATTGAACCAGCCTTGCATCCCAGGGATGAAGCCCACTTGATCATGGTGGATAAGCTTTTTGATGTGCTGCTGGATTCGGTTTGCCAGTATTTTATTGAGGATTTTTGCATCAATGTTCATCAAGGATGTTGGTCTAAAATTTTTTTTTTTGGTTGTGTCTCTGCCCAGCTTTGGTATCAGAATGATGCTGGCCTCATAAAATGAGTTAGGGAGGATTCCCTCTTTTTCTATTGATTGGAATAGTTTCAGAAGGAATGGTACCAGTTCCTCCTTGTACCTCTGGTAGAATTCGGCTGTGAATCCATCTGGTCCTGGACTCTTTTTGGTTGGTAAACTATTGATTATTGCCACAATTTCAGATCCTGTTATTGGTCTATTCAGAGATTCAACTTCTTCCTGGTTTAGTCTTGGGAGAGTGTATGTGTCGAGGAATGTATCCATTTCTTCTAGATTTTCTAGTTTATTTGCATAGAGGTGTTTGTAGTATTCTCTGATGGTAGCTTGTATTTCTGTGGGATCGGTGGTGATATCCCCTTTATCATTTTTTATTGTGTCTATTTGATTCTTCTCTCTTTTTTTCTTTATTAGTCTTGCTAGCGGTCTATCAATTTTGTTGATCCTTTCAAAAAACCAGCTCCTGGATTCATTGATTTTTTGAAGGGTTTTTTGTGTCTCTATTTCCTTCAGTTCTGCTCTGATTTTAGTTATTTCTTGCCTTCTGCTAGCTTTTGAATGTGTTTGCTCTTGCTTTTCTAGTTCTTTTAATTGTGATGTTAGGGTGTCAATTTTGGATCTTTCCTGCTTTCTCTTGTAGGCATTTAGTGCTATAAATTTCCCTCTACACATGAGGCAGGAGGATTTCTTGAGCCCAAGAGTTCGAGACAAGCCTGGGCAATGTAGAGACACCCCATCTCTACAAAAAATAAAAAAGTTAGCCAGGTGGTGTGCACCTGTAGTCCCAGCTACTCAGCAGGCTGAGGTAGGAGGAACACTTGAGTCCTGGAGGTCAAGGCTGCAGTGAACCCTGATTGCTCCACTCCATTCCAGCCTGGATGACAGAATGAAACCCTGTCTCAATAAAACTAACTAAATAAAGTGAGGACAAAACCCCATCTCACATGTATATGAATACAAAAATTGCTCAATAACATGGTATTGCCATAACAGAGATATGTGCAGAGCACATAACAGGAGGCTATGTAGCAAGAGGGACTGTTTTTATACTTGTTCCTTTTCTGGGATAACTATGAGAAGATAATTGACGCAATTTTCAGTTACCCAAATCAGTGATGAATAAAAAGAATAAATTTTCTAGGTCATGAATTTGTTTAATGGCAAAGCATGTTATCTCTGATATTTTATGTTATTCCAAAAGAACTATTTTCAATACAACAGTGCTTTCTGTTTTTTCTGTATAAAAAGAGTGGAGAGGCTCCATTTGGTTTGAATTTGAACCATTATTTGGAGTATTCAACCAACTGAGTACTTCAAACAATGGTACAAACTGAAACCAAATGGAGCCTCTCAACTCTTCACTCTTTTTACCAGTCTCATACAGTATACTGCTTCACCAACCACTGTCTCAAAGTGAAATTCTATATAAGCCCAGAGCCATTGCTAGAAAGATAAGGCTAAAGTCTCAATGGGCACTTAGCATACTCAACTTGAATCAGAAGAAACAGGGACTTACAAGGGAGAGTAGATTTTCATTTGTTACCAGGGCTCTGATTACATAATAGGTTAGTTTGGCACATTTAACATACCTAGTTAACTCAAGGCTATGTAAACCCCACCCCACACCCCCAAATTTTGATGCTGCATTTCATTTTCATGTCTACTCATTCAATATTGATTAAGCACCTATGTATGTGAAGTGATGTACCCAGCACTGGCAACATAATAAATATTTATTTTATGCCTGTTATGTTTATTCCTTTATTCAACACAGATTTTTGAGTATCTACTTTATACGAGACATGAAACTAATGGATAGATACATATTGGTAAACATAACAGCAGTTCTTGCTTTCATAAAGCTTAGAGTCTGAAGTTGGGAGAGGTGGCTAAAAGTTTTAACCAAAAATAAGGCAATCCAGTCATATGCAACAACATGGATGAACATGGAGGACATCAAGCCAAGTGAAACAAGCCATGCACAGAAAGACAAATACCACATGATCTCACTCATGCATGGAATGTAAAACAATCAAATTCATAGAAGCGGAGAGTAGAATGGTGATTACCTGAGACTGGGAGCAGGGACGAGGGACAGGTAAAGAGACTGGGGAGATGTTGGTAAATAAAATTTCAGTTAAGAGACATATATTAAAGAGATTTATGGTGACCATAGTTAATACCAATATATCACATGCTTGAAAATTGCTGAGAGTGTAGATTTTAAATGTTCTTACCACAAAAAAAAAATAAGTATATAAGGTAATGGGTGGGTTAAATAGCTTTATTTAGCCATTACACAATGTATAACGTAGGTCAAAACATCATGTTGCGCATCCTAAGTATATACAACTTTTACTTGTCAAAAAATTGCAAAAGAAAATAAATTGGCCAGATGCAGTGGCTCATGCCTGTAATCCCAGCACTTTGAGAGGCCGAGGCAGGTGGATTGCCTGAGCTCAGGAGTCTGAGACCAGCCTGGGCAACATGGTGAAACCCTGTCTCTACTAAAATACAAGAAAAGATTAGCCAGGCATGGCAGTGTGCACCTGTAGTCCCAGCTACTCAGGAGGCTGAGGCAGAATTGCTTGAACCCGGGAAGCAGAGGTTGCAGTGAGCCAAGATCGTGCCACTGCACTCCAGCCTGGGAGACAGAGCAAGACTCTGTCTCAAAAAAAAAGAAAAACAAAAGAAAAAAGAAATCAGCATGGGTGGATAGTAAATAGCTCATGTGATTGTCTCCATGTCTGCTCTCTTCCTGCTTCATCAGTTTTAGGAAGTAGCAGTCTCCGTGTTCATTAATAGATGGAAGTTATGAGGCACTATAGAAAACAGAAATTTATTACAAGACGTCTTGGCTTTTAGTCTAAAAGCCTATACTGGCCAGGCACGGTGGCTCATGCCTGTAATCCCAACACTTTGGGAGGCCAAGGCAGGTGGATCATCTGAGGTCAGGAGTTCGAGACCAGCCTGGCCAACATGGTGAAACCCCATCTCTACTAAAAATACAAAATTAGCTGGGTGTGGTGGAAGTTGCCTGTAATCCCAGCTACTCAGGAGGCTGAGGCAGGAGAATAGCTTGAACCCAGGAGGCGGAGGTTGCAGTGAGCCAAGATGGTGCCATTGCACTCCAGCCTGGGCAACAAGAGCGAAACTCCATCTCAATTAAAAAAAAAAAGTATGAAGTTTCAGTTACGCAAAATGAATAAGTTCCAGAGACCTCATATAGAGCATCATGACTACAGTTAACAATGCTGTATTGTATACTTGAAATGTGGTTAAAAGATAGATAGCTCTTAACTGTTCTTGACATGAGGAGGAGGAGACAGGAGAGGAGGACGAGGAAGAGGAGAAGGGAAAAAGAAGACAACAATGGTAACTTTGTGATGTAATGGATATGTGATAATTAGCTTGATTATGGTGATCATTTCATAATGTATACATATGTCAAAATATCAGGTTGCATATCTTAAATGTGTACAATTTTTATCAATTACACCTTGATAAAGCTGTTAAAGAATAATTCATACAATTATTTCTCTATTCAATATTTGTTAAGCATCTATGTGACAGAAAATGTTCCAAAATTATTTTCTGAAAAGGTAAGAGGTAGGCTATAATGTCAGTGAATGTACCTAAGACAAGGTGGTTTATGGGGTAGGCTCTAGACCTCTCAAGTCCACATAACCTCATCTTTAGAAACAAAATAACACAGCTGAAGAGGGATGCCTGGACCAGGTGATTTCCTGGAGACCACTCTCTACTGTATGTTTTGTGATAATAATAGCGACTGTTGTTGGCCATTCTTATCTGCTAGGTACTCTTCTGAGCACTTTACATGGATGAGCTCATTGAATCTCTGTAAACTCAGAGAAAGTATAATTTTCCCGGTGAAAGGCTGAAGCACAGAGAAACGTGCCTCAGGATAACCCAAGCCTTCACCAGATGTTAATCCACCCCCTTAGTCCTCAGTCTGATTTTGAGCTACACATATTTGTTTTTCCCTATAATTTTTGAAAATATTTTAATGTTATTTTTAACTCAGCAAGTGTCTAGGGAGAAGGTCCATCTCTCATTAGCTCTAATATATGAATGTCAATTTCTCCACCTAGGAACTCAAAGAACAATCAATACTCAGGTAATCTGAATCCCTTTATCCACACAGCTGTGTGAGCGCAAATGTCTTTGTCCCTTCAATGAGTACACTGAATTATGAATGCAAAATCTTCTTATAAGAAAAAATAGTCATCTTATGCTTTTCTGGCGACAGCTCCATTATAGAGTATCAGCAGGGAGTTAAATATTTTAATTAATGATTTTATCATACTAACTAGCTAAACATTTTTTCCTTTTTGTTCAGGGTGATTTTCTAAAGTTATCAAAAATTAATATGTTGTTTCCAAAGTAATTATTAACTTGAGTCTATAAGGAAGTAATATCTTAATTTACACCCATGAGATCATAAGACTTTTTAAATTTTTAACCCCTTTTCCATTTGCCCCAAGAATACTCACTGGAGGTGCTTGTGGCTGCAGCATTAACCCCAAGATAAATTTGCCAGAAAATATCTTGCTTTTATTATTTTCACATGGCTCTTGGAAACAAAAGACGTCATTCTATTTATAGCTTTCTGTTGTTAGTAGTGTTATTTCTATTTACAAAATATAGTAATTCCTCATTGCTAAAAATGTCAAATCTTAGAAAACGTAGCATTCCTACATGTGATGTTAATATCGTTCTTGAACATTTGTTGGCCAAAGATTCATTTGATGAATCAATTTTTCTGAAATAGACAATTCTGATGATTCAGACAATTCTGATGTTCATTCTGTTTAGAAATAACTCCAAGAACAGTCTGTATATTTTATTTTCACTTTGAAAATCAGTCAGATTTGCTTCACTCTCAAAGAGCATGTTTATGTAAAATTAAATAAGCGCTGGCAACAAGCTGCATTTTTTTTTTCTAAACAGGAAAATCAATGATGTTGTTCCTATGTCAGTGTACCCATTCTTTGCAAAACATTTCCTCCCTGATGAGAAGTGTTAAGAATGTAATCTAAATTATCTTATTGGCAATCACACACAGTTTTAAAATTGCCAAGTCCTCTTTCTCTGAGAATTTATTTTACAATATGAAAGGAAAACAACATCAATCACTTTCCTTTTCAATGTTTTCAAAACAAACACATACGCAATTTTCTATATAATAATTTATATGTATAACATTATATATTATATAAGATAAACATATATAATTTTTAAAATGCTTAAGTGTGCATATATCTAAAACATATATATAAAAATCATCACAAATTAAATGTAGATGTGATCATAATTCTGTCCCTTGGTAATTCAAAATTTAAATTCATCATTTCCTGGATTAGGCAAACATCTAGATAAGTAGAAACAATCATATATAGGGTGAGTCATTTTATGTAGTTAATGCAAAAACATAAAATGACAACATAATTTCTGGTAGGATTATAGGAGGTCGTTCTCCCTCTTTTTTAAACTGTCTCCACTTAATCAGAATCTGCAGAACTCAGAGACAGAGAGGAGCCTGAGACCTGGTATTTTTAACAATCTCATCTAATGACTCTTAAGACCCAACAATCTTGGAAAATATCAGTTGGGCTGATATTTTCTACTAAAACATCCTCCACTGGAGGAGGTGAGAATCCAGCTGGAAGAACCTGTTAATTATCTCTTTCACTCTATCACAGATTTTTCAGTTCCCTACTGTTACTTCAAAAGATATTTCTGGATGAAGGCACCAAGTGATGGGCTACAGTTTCTTAAAAATCATAGTGTCTGGGCCAGGCGCGGTGGCTCATGCCTGTAATCCCAGCACTTTAGGAGGCCGAGGTGGGTGGATTGCCTGAGCTCAGGAGTTCGCGACCAACCCGGCAACATGGTGAAACTTCTCTACTGAAATACAAAAACTTAGCTAGGACTGGCGGCGTGCGCCTGTAGTCCCAGCTACTTGGGAGGCTGAGGCAGGAGAATTGTTTGAGCCTGAGAGGCAGAGGTTCAAGATCACGCCACTGCACTCCAGCGTGGGTGACAGAGCGAGACTCCATCTCCAATTAAAAAAAAAAATCATACAACGTCTGGTTGGAAGGTAATTTAAAGGTCATTCAGCCCAGTCTTAGGTGATTTCCTAATCTTTCTTCAAATTTAGTGTTATCCTCTGGTCATCACCTCCTGCTCATCATCAATTCTTGATCTTAATGTATGTGCCAATCACATGAAGTTAACCTAATTCAATTAAAGAGAGTAATGTATTTTAAAGAAAGCAATATATTTCAGTAGATTCTCCAATCACCCAGCCAATCATGCTTAGCCTACCTTGCTCACATATTTTTGGATTGACAAGTGACTATCATGATTCATTTCTCATTTACGTACTTATTCATTCCCTAAGGCATAAAAAAAGTCAAGCCAAGGCTGCAGAATTACAGTTCCTTTGTTATTATCGTCAGGTGTTATCCAAGATACCATGTCTACAGAAAAAAAAAAAATAGAAATTATTATGAGAAAATTAAATTGGTTGTTGCTATAGCTATTTTAGGAAACAGTTCACATTAGTCTCCAAAATTGCATTTGCAACTAAACAATATTGCTTTTATTGATGGATTTCAGGGCAACAACAACCCTGAAAGATTTGGTCTGTGATTGAATTGCACGGTATAATTTCATTGTGTTTCAACAAAATTTTTTCTGTAATTCAGAGTCTGGGAGACATTAAGCAGTTATGTATTTTCTTTTTTTCCCCTCAAGTAATCAATTCAATTTGTGTGATCTTCATTTCCCAAGACTGTAACATCTATAAAAAGATTATTTCTGTGAGTATAAGATTCTGCATACTACAAAATGCCATCAGACATTTTTGAGGCCCATCTGTACAATTGTCACTTCAGTAACAGTGGTAGTAATGAGAATTGACTCTAGCAGAAAAAACAGATCTAAAAAAGGAAAAAGAAAGCCTGGATGAAAATAAGAAGTCTCCCAGCACTTTGGGAAGCTGAGGTGGGTTTATCACCTGAGGTCAGGAGTTCAAGACCAGCCTGGCCAACACAGTGAAACTCCATCTCTTCAAAAAAAATTTACAAAAATTAGCCGGGCGTGATGGTGGGTACCTGTAATCCCAGCTACTCAGGAGGCTGAGGTGGGAGAATCGCTTGAACCTGGGAGGTGGAGGTTGCAGTGGGCCGAGATCGCATCCTTGTACTCCAGTCTGGGTGACAGAGCGAGACTCTATCTCCAAAAAAAAAAAAAAAAAAAAAAGAAGTCTCAATAAATGTTTTCAAAGAGGCGAAATCTACTGGGTCTCACATTTTTCTAAATAGGATAAGAACAAGTTACTTCTTTTAATTCTTATTTTACACACTGACTAGACATGTGTCCTTGACCATAGAAGGGCTCAAAGATTATTTAGTGTCAAGCAGATGAGGAAATTATAGGCTACCTGATATTGATTGCCCACTCAACAATAACTGTTTATTAAGGGGCCAGTCCCCAGGGCACTGGACACACAGCAATGAGCAAAATAGACAAAGCTCTTTTTTACTCCTGAGCTTACATTCTAGTGAGAGGAGACAGAAAATGAGCAAACAAATAAATAAATGTTATCTCATATTGTGATAAGTACTGTGAAGAAAAGTAAGGTGGGCTAAAGCTACACGATGGTGAGGGAAGGGTGCTGGGGGCAGGGGTTTCTAATAAGGTGACGATTGAGCGAGGCCTGTATGAAATGAGGGGGGAAGCCACACAAGGGTGCACATGCCTTTGCTCTTCAACTAGAATTTATGCCCCTTGAGGGCAGAGACATACAGTGAATTTTTTTGGCCTCCCTTTCCCTCCTCTTAGGGCCTTGCACACAATAGAGGCTTTAAAATCTTTTAATTGCTTTGAAAGCAACTTCACTGGTATCCTATACAATCATTAACATCTCTTTCTAGCTCATAAGGCATAAATACAACGACGAACCTCATGAGTTGGCAATACAGATGCTATCAGACCACAGTGATTTCCCACCTCTTCTACTTAGTTTAACCTATGTGAGAAATTTCATGGAACCATGTTGCAAATCCACATTGACAATTGGGAAACTCATTTTATGTTGTCTTCAAAATTGGATATACAAAGATCTGCAGCTATCAATCATTCAGTTAATCAGCTCCAGTGGAGGATGTTTTAGTAGTGGCTGTTTTCATAATCATGATCCTACTGAAACCTGCAGAAAACTACTACAGGTGAGAGTATTAACACCTACTTGTAAAAGTCTTCAATATGGCAAAACTAAGCTATATTTTATTCATCCAGAAATATCTCCTGTGCACCTACTATGGCCCACACAAGTGGATATTTAATGCACAGGAGAGTCCTTGCCCTCAAATAATTTATTTGCTGGTACATTTTTGGATGAAACACATTTTTTTAATATACGGGCTAATTTGTAGAGGTTAGGTACCACTACCACCCAGCATTGCTTGAAGAAATAAAGGACATTTCGAGTGAAGGAGCCTGGAAAAGGGGAGCCCCAGGCTTCAGTATTCCACTGTCCAAAAAGGACAGTGGTTTATTTATGGGTTAGCATTTCCAACTCACATTTCTCTTTCCAGACAGAGAAAAGGGTGTTAGGAATTGAACCCCTCACTGAGCTGGAGCTCTTGAGCAAGAGCCACATACAAAGAAGTATAAACACACACATCTTGGGGGACAGTACAGCTGTGCTCATCATTATCATTCCCATCTGGGAGTCCAGTCCATCTTTTCTCTGTCAGATGCTGTTCCATGATGTGCAGAAGCCTTTGGGTCACTGACTTTCTGGATGGCCACTAAGAGACCTCTGCTCTCAGAATAATCAAGAAGTATGTGGGTGCAGAGGAAAAATAGCCATGTCATAATTTTGACATATTCAAATCACCAAGTTTCATCTATGCTTATAGGTAACTGGTTTGAAAAAGTCCTTATTTTATACTGAAAAGGAGAAAATCTAACACGATCTGTGTTCGCTTTGTTGTATACTGGCTCTTGTATTTCTGAGATCACCCTTAAGTTAAAACAGGGCTGAGGCTGGTCTCTTGTTTTTACAACCTCCCTGGTTTGAGGGAAGAGCATTTGATTGACTGATCATATTTTTCATCTCATTTGTCCTTTTTGCCCTTTCCCTGACTGTTTTCTTGAGGCAACCAACATTTTTTTTTAGTGCCTTCTCAACTTGACACTTCATGTGTACAGATGTGTCAAGTTGCTATCTGATCTTGCCACAGTCATGTGCTTTTCTTGTCCAGTTCTGATGGGGAAATTTGACACACACTGTGATCTTGCTGTAATTTTGACAAGGGAAATCTGGCTGAAAAGACCACCGTCTCCACACAAATAACCTAGAATTCTACCCTCCCCCACTACCATCTATAAAACAAATAGTTATGCCAACTTGAGATGTAGAGCCATGAAGAAAGTGACACCTTTTGCTGTCAACTAAAGCAATAGAAACTTGTACTCTTTCTGCCCAAGGATAGTGAGTCTTTGGGCACACAAACAGGTATTTTCTATTTTAGAATATGCATTTGCACTTTCTTAAAAGAATAATGTAATATTTTGTTGTTTTCTAACTAAACAATAGAAAGTGTACGATATTCTTATACAATCAGCAAACTGAAAATCTGGGGCCAGAAAACAGAAACTGGTTCTGGGTTTCAGATTTCGGGATCTCAAAATAAAAGTAAACAGAGTGAGAAAAAAATAATAAAACTCAAGAATAAATTTGATGATATGCCATTTCTTTTACTGCATCAGTTCCATAATTTCACAATCTGGTCAATGATCTTTTTTGCCTGCATCAGCCCTTTAAACACAGAGAATTTGAAATGATTTACTGCAGCTTTGGAAAAACAACAGTACTTAACATTGGTTTCTCCATAACATTTACCAAACAAAAAAATATTTTAACAAAGCAAAACAAAATGGAAATACCTGCCTTTTTCCCCTGACACAGGCTAGCCTTTTGTTCATACTCAAGATCACCTTGGAAAATTTGTTAGATTACACTTAATGAATCTTGGAGAAGAATGACAGAGTTCAAACGTATCCACTTTCTTTTCTATCACTAGAAAAACATAGTTTTTGCAACTCTATTCACTTCATAGTTACAAGAGCCTTTTGTTTATACATTATTCACTTTATTAAGGGCTTTGAAATCCCTTTTTCATAAGGTGAATATGCCTGTTTTACCATTTTCAGACTGGATGCCAGCAACTGCAAATTTTGAACAACTATTTCTTATTAAAGAATATACATTTGCATATTCCTAAAAGAATAGCATACTTGTTTATTGCTTTTTAATTAAACAACAGAAAGAGTAAAATATTCTTATAAAAGGACTTCTATTTTTAAAAAGTGACTAGGGTATAAAATAAGAGTGTGGTTAAAACAAATACTGCTATGCTGTGATAAAGAAAATGTTAGGTAAGTGGTCTATAAATAGAGCCTTACTAGGCCGGGCATGGTGGCTCACGCCTGTGGTCCCACCACTTTGGGAGGCCAAGGTGGGTGGATCACGAGGTCAGGAGTTCAAGACCAGCCTGGCCAAGATGGTGAAACCCCGTTTCTACTCAAAATACAAAAAATTTGTCAGGCATGGTGGCAGATGCCTGTAATCCCAGCTACTGAGGAGGCTGAGGCAGGAGAACTGCTTGAACTCAGGAGGCGGAGGTTGCAGTAAGCCAAGATCACACCACTGCACTCCAGCCTGGGCAACAGAATGAGACTCCGTCTCAAAAAAAAAAAAAAAAAAAAAAAAAGAGCCTTAGTAAGAAAAACTTTGGTTGTAATGTAGAAACTGTTCTCTAGTAGTCTATGTTGGAAAGAATGGCAAGGTGACAGGAGTATAGGACTTAAAGAGACAAAACCTTAAGTATAGGTCTTTTAACTACAAGCATGACCTGGGTGAGTTAAGTTACTTTAATCTCATTTCTCATCTGTAAAAATCTATTACCCCACAAGGATAGAACAAAATGTGATAATAAATATCAAAGTGCTTATAACTTTTAAAGTATTGTAAACAGGCAAGTTACTTTAATTCCTTTTGAGGTATTACAAAACTAAGTATCTTACAACCAGAAGCATAGTATTTGCTCTCATTTCCGAAGTCAAAATGTTATCTCTCATAAACTGTGTGTATAATGTGTATAGAGATGGCCCTTCACATCTGTGGTTTCCACATCCATGGATTCAACTAACCTTGAATCGAAAGTATTTTAAAAAATACATATTGAAAGCACTAAAGTATAACTATTTGCATAGCATTTACACTGTATTAGGTATTATAAGTAATCTACAGATGACTTAAAATACTTAAGAGCACATGCATAGGTTATGTACAAATAGCGTGCCATTTTAGGTAAGGGACCTAACATTCAGGCATTTTGGTGTTGGTGGTAGGGATCCTGGAACCAATTTCCTGTGGATATGGAGGGATGGCTCTATCACTTCCAGATAGGAGTCTTAGTATGTTAACATGGTAGAAAGATGCTACCAGAATCATTCTAGCTGGGATCCAGCTGGTTCAGATATAGATCCACAACAATGCCTGAAGTAACTTAATGCATGACTGTAAGAAGACAAAAGAACTGAAGTGAGAATGACTAAACTTACATTCTGAAATGTAGAACTGTAGTAGGCATATTGGTAACACATTTGACAGAAGTACAGGGGAATACAGCAAACTATAAGCATTCCAAAGTGGTGTTCCATCATTAACTATCTCTCCCCATCCCTACTCATTGAAGAATTAGTGGAGCTAGGGGAATATTTTTGATGTTCTATGCCTCCTTTTGTTTCCATCTTTCTGACTTAATCTTTCAGTGTCCCACTTGTTCTTGTCCCGATCTGCTTTGCACTGAAACAGCTACACTCATATTTCTTTTCCCTTATCACTAAACAGAAAATTCCAAGTCTCTCTGGAATTGATCAAAGTTCAAACTTTGAAGAGCAAAGTCCTCATTAAGTCTATTACTAAGGAGATTGCTTCTTACAATATATTTGGGAAAATGCCACTGTCATTTACTTTGATTTTAAGAATGACTTCTTTCTCCATTTGCCCTCCACTGAAACTTTTTCTATTTCTGGATATCCGTATCGGTAGCATGTTCCACTATGACGGATGCCAGGACACTTCTAAATGCAGCAGCCTAAGGCTGTATTATTTACATCTTCATACCTTTTCTTGTATAGGATACATATGTCTGATTATTTTTATTTTTTGAGACAGGATCTCACTGTCTGGGTCTGGGGAGCTGTGACATATCCACGGCTCACTGCATCCTTGGCCTCCTAGGCTCAAGCAATCCTCCCACCTCAGCCTCCCAAGGAGCTTGGACTACAAGCATGTGCTACCACACTTAGCTATTATTATTATTATTATTATTATTATTATTATTATTATTATTGTATTTCTTGTAGAGACTGGGTTTTGCCATGTTGCCCAAGCTGGTCTCGAACTCCTGGGCTCAAGCGATCCACCTGCCTTGGCCTCCCAAAGTGCTGGGATTACAGGCATGCACCACTGTGCCTGGCCTGATTCTTAAGAGATCAGAATTCCAATGTTTGCCAAAAGGTTAGTCATCAAGCATAATGAAATTTGTAATTATGAGAATTAATCCACCTAGACTATTAAAATTTTGGGTGTCATAAGTAGAAAACTAAGAATAGAAGTAATACTCCTTTAATATTTATGTATTCTCAACATATTTCAACAAATAAGTATGTAAAAAGCCAAAAGAAAAAGTTAAGAAAAACTTTGGAGAATGCCTTTTTAAAATTGTATTTTTATGAACTGTAACTATTTGCCAGTGCTATAGCTATCTCTGCAATAAAGAGCATCTTACATTTAATGTGAGTCACGTGAAAGGCCTATATCTATTTTACAAAAAATTAATTATTAATAGCCGTTTGATAAAGCTTTACCTCAAGCTAAGAAAACAGCATTCTACTTTGCAGCTTCTTTTTCTATATAAAGTTTCATTTTATTTTGTTTCTTATTAAGTTGCAGCTATTTATCTACCATGCCCCATCTTCCTTCTGTACATTGTATATTGACAATTAGGCTATTTGTCATTCTTGCTCAAGACTGTAGAAAGCCACATAATTTTAAAAGGCTTTAAAAACCCTTCAAGATTAAAGCCTAGCAGAAAAATCCTCTCTCCATATTTGCATTTTACAATCCATAATTTACTATTGTTGCTTGCCCTCCCAGAACACTGTTCTTTATGTACTGCTGGGAGCAATATATATAGTCCAAACTCACTATCTTTTCCTCTTTGTCTACCCAAACGTAACACCCAAGAGAAGACTCTCATTTTCCATACTGCAGACAATGCTGACATGACCAGCAGTACAGCAGACTAGGTGCCCAACTTACGAGCTTGAAATGCCTAGGTGCATGCCATTCATGTCAAGTCAAACATACACCCCTCCCGTTTCTGATCCCTCCAGGATCTTAGTATCTGAATGAGTTGTCCTAAAGAGAAAATAATAAATAAAACATCAGACAAACTGCTTTCCATCTCTCTTGGTTCATACTATTTTTTTTTTTGAGAGTCTTGCTCTGTCACCCACCCTAGAGTGCAGTGGCGCAGTCTCAGCTCACTGCAACCTTTGCCTCAGGGGTTCAAGAGATTCTTCTGCCTCAGCCTCCTGAGCAGCTGGGATTGCAGGTGCGTGCCACCACACCCAGCTAATTTTTGTATTTTTAGTAGAGACAGGATTTCACCATATTGGCCAGGCTGGTCTCGAACTGTGACCTTGTGATACACCCACCTCAGCCTCCCAAAGTGTTGGGATTACAGGCGTGAGCCACCGTGCCCAGCCAGTTCATACTAATCTTTATTGTTCTGGAAACTCCCAATATATATCAACAGAATCAATTCAAGACAGAACTCTCCAAATTTTAACCATATGGACACTCTTAATATTTCTAAAAGTAATTTGTTTCCCCTCTAAGGTTCTTTTATTTATTATTGAGGGAATAACAGAGAAGTAATTGTCTTTTCCAAACCATGAAATATACAGTGTCCAACAGTCTGCAAAATAAGAAAGCAGAAATAAAGGTCACAGGGTAGAAGGGGCACACAGGAAAATCGATTCTAGTAATATGAAGTGGGTGTCATTTAAATCATCCTGCTTTCCTCACTACTAATGAAAATCCCTGGAAGTCTATCTTACTTACGAAGTTATACAATCTTCCAAATAGCATTTTGAATAGAGAATTGTTCTGTTTTTTGACTAAAATAAGATACAGTTCAATTTAAGGAAAACAGTCATGGTAAAATTGATGCAGCTGCCAAGAGTAGAACTTTACATATAAAATTAACTTTTAGAAAAATATTTAAGATTCTTTAGAGAAAGACTTACTAGCCCAGACTCAGATAATGAGTTTATAGAATCAATGTTACAAATAAAATTGTTACCCACAAAAGTAAGATATTTTGGTCCTTCAGAGATGTTATGCAACTATTTGAATAGCATATTCTGGCAGGAACTCAACCCATTGAAAACAAATCTTCTTAAACAGTATCTTGACGACAGTCTGTCATCTCTGATTTTTTTTTTAAAAAAAAGAAAAAATCATCATAATGTGAAATTAAGGTAAAACTGAAATAATAAGTTTTTCATAAAGTAAGCTGAATGCAGAGATAGTTTACTGGACAATTAAATGCCAGAGACCAAGTGAGATTTAATTGGCCAAAATTGACATGAAATTGATAACAAGCTCTGTTCCTCCTGTATTTGTGGTTTTGTTATTAAAAAAGAATACATTCTACTGAGTAATGTGTTGTAATAACCTATGTCTATTTTGTCTTAAGTCTCAGAAAGGTAAAACGGAGCAATTTCATTATTTATTTACTCATATCTTTCTCCTCTTCCTTGATATCTCACAAAATACTGGCTCGTAATAGTCTTTAATAAATGTACTGTATTTGCCATCTAAATTAATTATCTAGTAGTCAGCCTTTACTAGGGAGGTATAATTAGCATTTAACCCTGTTTTGCTAAAACCTTAATTGTTATGGCCAATTTTTTCTTAGTGCCTACCATTTATTGTGTGTTTACTACGGGTGAGGCACCATGCTAACCACTTCATTTATATTTTCTGAGTTCACGTCTCACAATAACCCTATGCGATAAGTAGTACTACCGATTACATTGAAACTAGAGAGGTTCAATGATCCAGAGTTAATAAGCCCCATTACTAGGATTTAAACACTTTTCTTTTCCTGACTCTAGATGAAGTTTGGCAACAAAGTTTAGGCAGACAAAAGTAGCAACTGGAAAGGGAAGAAAAAAAGGCTCTAGGGTGTTGGGGAGAAAAAATATATTGGATGAGGATTGTGGTACCCCTATGCCTGCCTTTATGCAACTCCTTCCTCCATCAAAAAAAAGATTATCCACTATCTATTGCCCCAATAGTTCGGTGTAGTGAATCATTCCAAAAATACCGTGACCTTAAAACAATAGGTATTTATTTATTTAGCTGATGAATTTACAAGTCAACAATTTGGGCAGGGTTGAGTTCAGCAGTTCTTCCAGTGTTGACTGGGCTCACTCACATCTTTGATGGTCTGCTGACTGTTGGCCAGGGCAGCAAGGCGATAAAGCCAGGTGCCTTTCTCATTCTTCAGAAGGCTGAACTGAGGAACACAGAAACAAGCAAAGGCAAACCCAAGCACACAAGCACTCTTCAAGCCTCTGCTTGTGCCATATCTAATATCCCATTAAGCAAAGCAAGTCACATGGCTGATACAGGAGGCACAATGAAGCTACACAGCGAAGTGTTCAAATATACGGGGGTAGAAGAATTGGGCCCATTAGTAAAAGTAACCTACCAGAACCTACAACTTTTAATCTTATTTCTCAAGTTTCCCTTCACCTTTGGCATTCCAAGGCTATGAATGTACAAGAAAAGTGTTAAATGATAATGATATGAAGTGATAAATACAGATGTACCCACAAAAATGACATTCTAGGACTGCCAGGACTCTGTCATCAAGGAAGCATTTATTACCTTGCTATTCAAAGGTGGCAGTTGGACCAGCAGTATCAACAGCTTGCAGGATCTTGTCAGAAATTCAGAATATTGGGCCACACCCCAAACCTACTGAATTGTGAAGTACATTTTAACAGGGTACTCTAGTGACTTGTATTAACATTAAAGTCTGAAAAAAATTGGTTATTAGAATTCGTATTTAGAATTCTGTTCTTGTATTTGTTCTCAATTGTATTTACTGAGGAAACAAACTAATGTAATTTGATGGATTTTTAACTGTTAAGATTGGAAACAAGAAAGAAGTTCATCTATCCAGAAAATTAAAGTAACAAAACATTTTATTTGTTGAGGCTTCTGGAGCATCGTGGTTGATCTTGTATTTTTGTGAAGTTTTGCAAAAATCTAGGTGAAGTGATTCAGCTACTTCCCTAAGCCCAAGGGCTATGCAAACAAAAGCAGACATGGACCCTGCTCAGAAACTGATTATGTTCCTTCCCCTTCTTCCCAAACAAGAAGCTTTAAACAAAGAATTATGAGATGGGTCACAGTCTGAGATGATTCTGACTCAATGTTTTAAGGCACAGTGAGAATGTGGGTCTTTGGCAGTCTGTTGCTTTTCGCTCTGATATGAAGTCTCCATATATCTAAGACAGGTCACATCTACTCTGCCAGAATTGTTACTCATGCCTCCCTGTATTAATGTTCTACCTTCTAAGAACACCTATTGTTTGGAATTTGGCATTGAGTATTTTAATTACTTAACTTCTTGTCATTCTGCTCAGTGGATGGTGGACACACTGAAGGGAGGGACTGTGTTTTTACTCTTTATTGTATCTCTACCCCTAATGAGAATGGGGAAAGAGGGTTCAGTGTTTATTGAATGGATAAAGGAGGCCAGAGAACAGGAACACTAATAACCAGTAAAACAAAATGACTGTTTTGTTTCCTAGGTCCTAATAACTGAACTGAGTAAGAACCAGCTCCTATTCTTATTGTTTGATTGGTTCTGTAGTCTCCATCAGAACTATAATTTTATTTTCTCTCAGAATATTAGCTTAGGAAGAAGCGAAATGGCTTAGCAATTTAAACAACTGAATGCACTTCAGTTGAACCTTTGAGATTGTCCTCATAATTAACAAAAGGAAATAATATAAAATGTGGGGGATTGATTCTATGAATATCAAAATTAGTCATCTTAAGGAAGTGAGGATCTAAAAGATTCCAGTGGATTGAAAGTAAAATACGGCAGTGAATATTAAGTCTTATGGAAAAGTAAATTAAAGCTAAATAGTTCCAGAATATAACTTTTATATAATGAGATGGTTGTACAGATTTCATTTTTTTCTCTCTTCATACTTAAAAAATGTCCATACTTAACTAGGGAAAGGCAACATCCTCTTAGTGGAAGTATTAGACGTTCAGGATTTCTTTATATATTTTCAATCCCTTTTGAAGTCTACCAGCAATAGGGAGCCAAAGTTGGATGAATTCTTGGAAATAATAGGAGTAATTTAAATGTATTTCATAAGGCTTCTGCTTCTAGTGATGGCATAAAATAATGCAAATTGATTTCACTCTCATGATAAAAACAAAAAAAGATTAAATAAAATGTCATACTTTTCTATGGGGTTAACAAGTAGGGGTAGATGAAAGGAAGACATGATAAACTAAATTTCAAGAGAGGAAAGGGGTTTTCTATGGGGTTATCAAGTAGGGGTAGATGAAAGGAAGACATGATAAACTAAATTTCAAGAGAGGAAAGCCTTCATAATCAAGATAACAGTCACGGCAGCATCTACACCTGAAATAAACAACAGATTGGATGAAGATAGGTAAAGAAATGGAACAGCCATAAAACAGTAGATACTTCAAGAGACCTAAAAAATAGGAAGCTTTGAAAACTATGTGAGTCAGGACGCTAAGAACACCCAATGAGAAAAGGAGGGTCTCTTCAACAAATGATGTTGGAAAAACTTGATATTCACATGCAGAATAATAAAATTGTACTCTTATAACATATAAAAAGAATCAACTTAAAATGGATTAAAGACTTAAGACGTGAAACTATAAAACTCTAGAAGAAAACGGAAAATGCTTCATGGCATTATTCTTGGCAATGATTTCATGAATATGACACCAAAAGCACAGGCAACAGAAGCAAAAATTAACAGTGGGACTACATTAAACTAAAAAGCTTCTGCACAGCAAAGGACACAATTGACAGAGTGAAAAGGCAACCTAGAAATTTGGAGGAAATATTTGCAAACCATATATTTAATAAGTGGTTAGTCTCCAAAATACATAAGCACCTCCTTCAACTCAATAGCAAATAACCCAATTTTAAAACGGGCTAAGGACTTGAATTTCTCCAAAGAAGACATACAAATAGCCAACATGAATAAGAAAAAAATTGCTCAACATCACTAGTTTTCAGAGAAATGAAAATCAAAACCACAGTGAGATATCACCTCATACCTGTTAGGATAATTATCAAAAAAAAAAAAAAAAAAAAAGAAAAGAAAGAAAAGGCAACATATGTTGGTGAAGATGTGGAGAATCAGAACTCTTACACACTGTTACTGGGAATACAAAATGATGCAGCCACTGTGGAAAACAGTAAAGATGTTCTTCAAGAAATTAAAAATAGAACTACCATATTATTCAGCAATCCCACTACTGAGTATTTATCCAAAAGAATGAAATCAGGATCTTGAAGAGATATTAACACAGCCATGTTCATTGCAGCACTATTCACAATAGCCAAGATGTAAAAACAACCTAAATATCCATCTAAAGGTGAATTGATAAAGAAAATGTGGTATATACAAACAGTGAAATGGTAATCATCCTTCAAAAAGAAGGAAATTCTGCAATATATGACAACAGAGATGAACCTGGAGGACAATACACTAAGTGCAATAAGTCAGTTACAGAAAGACAAATACTGTATGATTACACTTATATGAGGGTTCTAATACAATCAAATTTATAGAAACAAAGAGTAGAATAATGGTTGTCAGGGGCTGGGTGGAGGGACAAATGGAGAGTCACTAATTAATGGGCATAAAGATTAAGTTAATCAAGATGAATAAGCTCTAGAGATCTGCTGGAACCTATTTTTGGCCGGGCATGGTGGCTCATGCCTGTAATCCCAGCACTCTGGGTGGATTGCCTGAGGTCAGGAGTTCAAGACCAGTCTGGCCAACATGGTGAAATGCTGTCTACTAAAAATACAAAAAAATTAGACGTGGTGGCATGTGCCTGTAATCCCAGCTACTTGGGAGGCTAAGGCAGGGGAACTGCTTGAACCAGGGAGGCAGAGGTTACAGTAAGCCGAGATCATGCCACTGTACTCCGGCCTGGGAGACAGAGACTCTGTCTCAAAAAAAATAAAATAATAAAATAATAAAAATAAATTTTATTTATTTTTATAGTGCTTTAAAAGTACTTAAAACTTAAAATTTTGTGAGTCAATAGGACGTATTAAAATGTGAAAAAGCCAAAAGTGCAAAAATAATTTTTTATCCTGACAACTCTTCCTATATCCCCTAAATTATGCCAAGAAACAGAAAGTGGAAAATGTAATTGGTAGAGACTATTCTTACATACAGTGACCCAATCCCTTCTGAATTCAAATGTTGGCAATATCAAGAAGCTCAATCCCTCATCACCAAGAAATATGGAAGTTGTGGGTTATGTTAACCAGAGGATAATTCAGTCTAATTTAAACTTTAGCCCAGAATAAGTTTAACTCAACTCTTGGAAGAACTATTACTGGTCAGCACAGACTCAGGAGAGAAAAAAATAAAAGAGTTATAAAAAAAATTGAAGAAATAAATTTCATTTTTTTCCCCAATTTTGGTGAGGTAAAAAAATCAGCCCACAGACACAAGATCAGCAAAACCCAAGCCAGATAAATTCAAAGAAAATTACACCTATTTCACAACATAGTACAATGTTTGAAAACAAAAAATAAAAGAAGAAATCTAAATTAGCCTGAGAGAAGAAAAGTATACATTTTAAAGAGGTGCCCAATGATAAGAAAGGAAGCTAACTTACCGGGAAATGTAGAAGCGGGAAAATAATGGAATGAATTTTTAATGTAAAAAACAGTATGTACCTAGGATTGCATATATCCATCGAAAAATACTCTTCACAAATGAAGACAAAATGACACTTTTTGTTAAAAGAAGTCAAAAAGAATCGATTTGCAGAAGACTCCCTCTAGAAGAAATGCTAAGGGAAATCTTATGCTGAAAGAAAATGGTATCACATGAAAACTTGAAATTGTAGGGAAAATAAAGAGTGCTAGAAATAGTCAATATGTAATGTAAAAACTGTATTATTTAAATTTCTTTAGTAGATATTTGACGGTTATAAAGGACTTATATCACATGTAGAGATTAAACATATGACCATGATAGCACAAAAACTTGGGGAATAGAATTACATTTTCATAAGGTTTTTTATATTATAAATGAAGTGGTGTAATATTAATTCAAGACAGTGTGTGATATAGTGAGGATATGTATTGTAATTCCTAGACAGAGCCCATAAGTTTCATTGAGTTGAAAGATTGTTGGAAGATCTTTAAGTAGAGAGTTGGAACTCTCTTCTTAGTTCTTATCTTATCTACCAAGGAAGGTAGAATTGGTGAGGAGAAATACTGAAAAGTAGATCACTTCAGAAAGGACTCCTGTTAGGTGTTTGGCAGAATACTAATCAGAGCACTCATATAAGGAAACTAGTAAAGCTGGAAAAAGGACTACCAGAAAGGAGCAGAAACAAAAATCCTGGAGTTCATTCAGAGTTAGAAGACGTTTGTTTCCCCAAAACAAAGTAGAAGGCCTAACACACAAAGCATGTAGTAAAGACCTAGACTAAAGGCTGTTGTAGATCTACCTGACAAACCTTAAAACAAGCCTCACAGTGATCTAACTAGCTTCAGGTAAGCTTAATTGTGTCCTGGGGTGAAAATTATTTTCAAAAAATACCAAAAAAGCTAACACCCTTACAATGTAAAATTCAAAGTGTCTGATACCCAGTAAAAATTTAGTAGGCATGCAAAGAAGTTGAAAAATAAAACCCATAACCAAGATAAAAATCAGTCAACAAAAATGAACTCAGAAATCATGCAAATGATAGAATTTTTTAAAAGGACATTAAAAGAGTGATTATAGATATATTCCATCATAGGAAAAAACTAGAGCATGATGAGAAAAGACATGGAAGATATTTTTTAAAGACCAATTTTTAACCTCTAAACAAAAAATACAGTGTCTGAGGAAAAAAATACAATGATGGCATTTACAGAAGATCAAATATTGCAGAAGAAAAATTTAGTGAGCTGGAAGATATAGCAATAGAAATTATACAAAATGAAACTTGGAAAGTAAAAAGACTGAAGAAAATAATGAACAGAGTATCAGTGAACTATGAGACAACATCAGTCCCCCTAACATTTGTATAATTGTCCTAGAAAATAAGAGAAGGCAGAAAAAACATCTGAAGAAACAACTGATATCTGTCAAATTTGATGAAAACTATAAACTCATAAATACAAGAGTCTCAATTAACATCAAGAAGAGGAAATATGAAGAAACCACACCAAAGCACAACATATATCAAGTTTTTGAGCAGCAGTGAAATAGAAAACCTAGGGAAATATTTTTTGTGGCCATGGTTTAAGCAAATATTTCTTATATAAGACAAAAAAATCACCAACCATAAAGGAAAAAACAAATTAGATTTTGTCAAAATTTCAAATGTTTCCTACTCAAAAGAAAATAATTAAAAAAATGAAAAAACAAGCCATAATATGAAAGAAATATTCATAATGCATATATCTCATAATTGTATTCAAACTATATGAAGATCTCCTACAAATCAGTAACCTATTTTTAAAAATAAGCAAAGATTTAACACTTCACCAAAGAATATATACAAATGACCACTAAGCATGTGACAAGACAATTAGTATTAGGGAAATGCAAATTAAAAGTATATTGAAATCCACTAGTGTGGTTGAAATTAAAGAAATCAAAGAGATTGGCAAGAATGTGGAACAACCTGAATTCTCATACAACTAATTTGGAAATCAGTTTAGCAGCAGCTTCTTACAAAGATAAACACCTACCCTATTACCCAGCAGTTCCACTTTGAGTACATACTCAAGAAAAATGTGTATTCCAAAAAAGTGTATATCCACAAAATAACATGTATAATATTCATCGTCAATTTACTCATAATAGCTAAAATGAAAAATAACACAGATATTCATTAACAGGAATATGGATGAACAAAGCATGATACATTCATACCGTGAAGTACTCATCAGCAATAAAAGAAATGGTACACAAAACATGGATGTATCTCATCAACATAACATTAGAGAAAAAAGTCAAATATAAAGAATACATAGTATATAGTCCCATTTAAATAAAATTGAAAGACAGGAAAACTCAATCAATGGTCCTAGAAATCAGAATAGCGGTTGCCTGTGGTGATTGGGAAAGGTACAGTATGGACTAACTGGAAAAGAGCAAGGAGGGATTTTCCACAGGTAAGCTTTTGTATCTTGCTTTAGGTATTAGTTATACAAGTGCATATATTTGTTAAAATGTCCTGAACTTTAGGTCTGTGCATTTTATTGTTTATAAATTGAAGTGTTTATCACCTCACTGTTTTCAAATCATATTCCCATATGTCATCTCATTTGCGACTCTATGGAATCAGCAATGTAGCAATTATTATGGACTTTACTGATGAGGATGTTAAAGCTCGGAGAGGTAAGACTTGCTAAAGTCTCCTGAGTGCCTGCAGGTATTTGACCACTATTTCATTTTCTTTACACCACATTCCTGTTTCCCCCAGCAGCAAGTGGAAGCAAAGCCACAAGTATTGAAACAGAAAAGAGTCAAAGAATTTTAAAGTGCTGAGAAGAACTTTTCTTCTGGGATAGCACTATTTGAATACTAAACATCGGCTTTGCATATCAAATGCTGTTTTGTCTCTTGGCCACTGTTCTAGAGAATGGGGAAGCTTTCCAAAGAGGGAACTGGAGAAGACCATAGAAAAAGTAGACTGTTGTTGCTAGGGGAGCAGACTTCCTTTCTGGCTTGTGGATACTCTCTTCTGCTCAGAACCATGGGGGAAAGATAAACATTTTAAATGAGCACTGAGAGTCTAGAGGGAAGCTAGAGAGACCTACATCAGAGCCAACATGAGGAGAAATAGATTGGAGAGTGGAAGCCATGGGTCAGACTAGCCAGCAGGATTGTTGATTTTCATAGCCTAGGGGTCAGCAAGAAAACAAAGGAGATAGATCTGAGATTGTGGACCAGTGGCCAGAGGTCAGGACAGAGCTCCTCACAGGAAGCTTTCTCCAGCATTGCAGGCTTGTTCTCAACACCACTATCCATTCCCAGTCCTCTGGATGAACCTTTAGACGCACATACTTGCAGCTAAGTGAATGATTTCTTTGTTGGAGGTAATACATATTTGAAATTGATTTTATGCATAGAACAAACTGAACTGCCCCTTACAAGATGGAGTACTTATTCAACAAGAAGGCATCTTTGTGGCATTTATCACTATTAGGTTTAAGTGCTTAAGAAACCTATATGTTGTTTCCTCATATTGTTGTTTTGATTCTTCTCAATGAAATGCAGCTTAGAACTGGCTGGGGAAAAGACATGTGCACACAGGGAGGGGGAATAGGTGAAGAGAAGTGGTTCCTGTGATAATGAAGGACGGAAATAAATTACTCCAGAGGTTCTCTAGCCTGGATGCATGGTAGAGTCGTACTGTGGAGCTTTCAATAAAACGCTACCATGCCCATGCCCCATGGTCCAGAGATTCTCATTTAATTGGCTTGAGGGTATAACTGAGTATCCAATTTTTAAAAGGGAATTAAATATTTTTCCCCTTTTCCCTTTTCCCCCACCTCCTACTTAGCTCTTTGGGAATACAATTATAACCTTTCCCTTCTCTCCAACAGACACTCCCTATACAGGCAAGCTTAACTAACTGTGTGCTTGGAAGTTCCAGAGACTGAATCTTGAAGCAAACCAGGTGCCTCTGGAACTCTCTCCCACCAGGAGATTGGCTCAGTTTACAGCCTAGCTCTGCCTGCTATGACACCAGCCAGACCTGATAGATAAGACATTGGAAGCAAGTCACACAGACCCCTCACCTCTTTGTACCCTCCCCTGCATGCTGTTCATGCCAACCCTCTCTTTAAAAGCCCCAGCTTTCTACCCTGAAACCGAAATGGTATCTTCAAGACAGAAGCCTATACTACTTCCCCTCTGCTAGCTCTGAAATAAAGTCACTCTTTCTACAAGACCCTACTGTTGTTAATTGAACTCTGCACGCAACAAACGACTGGATCTGCTTTTATTAACAAAGAGGACAGAGAGGGTGAGCAGACTAAACTGTTGGAAAAGCCCCACAGGTGGGTTGAATGTTCAGTCTGTGGTTGAGAACTACTGAGTTAGGCAGAGGAGAAATAATAGTTTTTCAAAATTAAGTCCAATTGCAAAATTAACTCCAAATTTGGTTGGTGCCATTTTCCTAAAAAAAGAAAAGGATTTAAAGAGGTTGTCCTGCTGTCTAGTCAGTTAGAAAGTCAAAACACCAGAGAACCCAAGGCCAAAAATGATCACAGTTCAAATACAACACTGCACCACAAAGGGCTTCCTTGCTTCAGTCAGCTCCCAGCACCTCTCATTCTGTTGCCAGTTGTTATGAGAAATAAGCCTGGAGTCAGGCTGTTGACATGGGATCTCTGATTAATTTTTGCCACACATCCCATTTCATCTTACAGAGTGCTAAACAGTAACTTTCCCACTTTGTATCACTTAAATAAGTTATCCAGCTAAGCCCTGGGTATTATACTAAAAGCACTTATTTTATTGTTTCCTATAAAATTGCATACTTACAGTCTACTAGCAATCAAAGAAATATAAATTACAATCATACTATTTTTAGAATCACAGAGAAGATCAAAAACAACACTCAGCATTGACAACTAACTGTAAAGAAAACAGGCTTTTTTCATACTTTGCTGCTAGAAATATAAATTTATAAAACTCTTCTGGTGGGCAAATTTTTCAATCTCAAGAGAAGCCTTAAAAGTTAAAAAAAATTTGATCCAACATTTCTCTCTGTAAATTTATCCCAAGGAACCAATTATGGAGATATATAAATATTCATATACTATGTGGATGGTCTTGGAACCAATCTAAATATCTATTAATAAGTGACTATGTAATTAAATCTCTATGTCCATTCCATTAAAACATGTGAAATGATGATGTAAAAGATCTTATAAAATATATATGATCAGATAAATGTTAGGTCATAAAGAAGACTGTAGAGTATAATCCCATTTTTTGTAAATACATTATATAAGCATAGTAAAAAAAGAAAGGTGCTTGACAACAAACTCATGATGGTGGTTATCTGAATGAAGACACACTTTTTTTTTTTTTTTTTTTTTTTTTTTTTTTTTTGAGAAGGGGTCTCACTCTGTCACCAGTCTGGAGTGCAGTGGCACAATCTTGGCTCACTGCAAACTCCGCCTCCTGGGTTCAGGTGATTCTCCTGCCTCAGCGTCCAGAGTAGCTGGGATTACAAGCACACACCACCATGCCCAGCTAGTTTTTGTATTTTTAGTACAGACAGGGTTTCACCATGTTGTCCAGGCATGTCTTGAACTCCTGACCTCAGGTGATCTGCCTTCCTTTGCCTCCCAAAGTGCTGGGATTATAGGCATGAGCCACCACACCCGGCCCACTTACTTCTCTTATACTGTATCTTTCTGTTATTTTTTATATCTTGAATTTAATTTTATATTCTTTATGCAATTAAAACACATAAAAGCAAATAAAGGAAAAAGACTGAAAAACTATGGGACAAAATAGTAATCGCTGATGGTTCAGTAAAATAATCTTTGTTTATCTGTATTTTTAAGATTTACAACAATTAATATGTATGACTTTTACAATAAAAAATGCTCCAAGTAATTTTAAGTGCATGCTTATATAATCTAAAACATTTCAGGTTCTTCAAATAATTTAGCTGTTCTAACTATTATATTTCCTTTAATGTCCCCAAATTATTTTTTAGACAATTATAAACAAAAACATAAAGCATTAACAGGCTTTTTCAGCTGAAGGGGGAAAGAATCTGGCCTTTCACTGTGACAGTCTGTTTGGGTTTTGAGAACTGTTCTTGCCATCATACGTGGCTTTGTGACTTCAGGGCAGAAAGAAGACACTTGGATTTTGTTCTAATTAGAGACCTCCATTTTCTTGTGTGATGTGTTATTCTGTATTTTGAAGCAAAAAGAACTTTGCTAACAACTTTGTTCACTATGATTTTTATTTCTACAGTAAATTGAGCTAGTTCTTGACAACTCACATCCTATAAGCACCAACCAACACTCTAATTACATTGTGTCTGCAAATGTTCAGGTACCACTTAGGGCAGGAATTCACATCAAAATATTCATTTTCAAATTTCACTGTCAGAAAAAAGGAAGATATTTGAGGATTTCCAAACCTATCAACTTGAGGTGCCAGAGGCATTTCTGTGAGCAAAGCAACTGTCCTTCAACTGTAGTCTGAGAATATCATTTATATAGAAAGTTAACACTCCCTCCCGTACTTCTTCTGTGGAAGAAAAACAAGACACTTCTGCTTCTCAACTGAAAGACCCTCAGCGGCCCTCAGACCCATATGCTCTTATTAGGAGTGGCATATGTTAATTGAGAATGTTTTACAGGGGAACTTGGGCAGACAGACAAAAGATATCTAGGAAGACCCCATCCTAATACCCACAGTTGCCCAAAAGGCTATAAAATGACTCTACAAGCTTCCTGAAGGCAGGGACTACAACTTGTTCCCCATTGTCCATACAGACAATACTTGTAGGGTAAGTGAATGAAAACTTAAATAAGTGAATGAATGAAAGGTGTTCCATGGAATTCTCCACAGAAGATCAATCTTTATAGAAAATAATTAGCACAGGATAAGAAATGGAAAAAAAGCAAAATTAAGACCACCTTAAAAGATAAATGATACTGGGTTATTTCTTAAGAATATTTTAACAGATACATAGATAGAGATAGCTTAAGGCCCTGGTGAGGAAAAGGAGAGGACTGGTTAGAGGCTGGACTTCCAGGAGCAATGGCGGAAATCCCATCCCATTTCAATGCTTTGGTGGAGACCATGACACTCCAACGCTAGAGGAGACTCACCAACTTCAGAGGAGTCTCAGGGATCTGCCTTCTTGGTTAGCAATCTTCTACTTTCCAAAATAGGTAACTTAGAAGAGAGGGTAGACTTATGCAGAGAAGCAGCTACATTTTCATCTCTTTCTTCAGATCTGAAATATTTGAGTGGCCGAAATTCCCAAAGGGGTAGATGACTTGGGTGAGGCAAGCAGCAGTTTTAATCACTGTATCAGTTGCCTGACTCCCTTTCTGTTCCCTTTCTTCTTCATTCCTCACCTGATTCAAGATTGCATAGTTTACATTCTGAAAATGTATTGCTATATAATAAACTACACTGAAACTTAATGATTTAAACTCCATATCATTTCATAGGGTCTTACAATTTTGTGGGTCAGAAATTCAGGCTCCACATAACATCTGCTCTCCAAAGGATGCTGTTGAGAAAATGAAAAATGTTGCAGGAAGTCAAGGACCCCAAACAGAGGGACTGGCTGGAACCACAGCAGAGGAACATAAATTGTGAAGATTTCATTTTAATATGGACATTTATCAGTTCCCAAATTAATTCTTTCATAATTTCTTATGCCTGTCTTGCTTTAATCTCTTAATCCTGTTATCTTCATAAGGGGAGGATGTACGTCACCTCAGGACAACTGTGATAATTTTGTTAACTGTACAAATTGATTGTAAAACATTTATGTTTGAACAATATGAAATCAGTGCACCTTGAAAAAGAACAGAATAACAGCGATTTTTAGGGAACAAGGGAAGACAACCATAAGGTCTGACTGCCTGCGGGGTTGGACAAAAAGAGCCATATTTTTCTTCTTGCAGAGAGCCTATAAACAGATGTGCAAGTAGGGAAGATATCGCTAAATTCTTTTCCTAGCAAGGAATATTGATATTAATACTCTGGGAAAGGAATTCAATCCTGGGGGGAGGTCTATAAATGGCCGCTCTGGGAATGTCTGTCCAATGCAGTTGAGATAAGGACTGAAATATGCCCCGGTCTCCTGCAGTACCCTCTGGCTTACTAGGATTGGGAAACTCCATCCTGGCAAATTTTTGGTCAGACCAGTTCTCTGCTCTCAAACCCTGTTTTCTGTTAAGATGTTTATCAAGACAGTACGTGCACCACTGAACATAGACCCTTATCAGGAGTTCTGATTTTCCTCTTGTCCTGTTTCCTCAGAAGCATATGATCTTTGTTCTGCTTTTTGCCCCTTGAAGCATGTGACCTACTTCCTGTTCATACACCCCCTCCCCTTTTGAAATCATTAATAAAAACTTCCTGGTTTTAAGGCTCAGGTGAGCATCACGGTCCTACCGATAAGTGATGTTACCCCCAGCGGCCCAGCTGTAAAATTCCTCTCTTTGTACTCTCTCTTTATTTCTCAGCCAGCCGACACTTATGGAAAATAGAACCTGTGTTGAAATACTGGGGGTGGGCTCCTCTGATAGAAAAAAGATAAAAATTGAAGGAAAATAGTTGCAATGAATATATGTGATAAAGGACAGAATAGTTTTTAAACTTCTAAAAACAAATAATAAGAAAACAAACCATCCAATAAATGGGCAAAATATTTGAAAGACACTTTATCAAAGAAGGAATATAAATGGCAAATAAATCCACGGAAAGATACTCAACATCATTAGACATTAGGGGAATGCAAATAAAAACCACAATAAGATGACACTACATACTAATTTGTAGTAACCAAAAGCAGATTAGTAGTTGCTGTTTGGGGAGAAGGAGATGAAGGGAGGAGGCAAAGGAAGGGATCACAAAGGAACACAAGTTAATTTGGAGGTGATGGATATGCTAACCATCTGGGTTGTGGTGATGGTTTCGATACATACATCAAAATCCATCACATTGTATATTAATACTTTAAGTTTGTGCAATTTTTTATATTCCAGTTATACCACAATGCAAGCTGTTTTTTAAAAAAGAGGAATGGCAGCTGGTCTTCATTTTCTCAAAGCCATCCCATCATGAAAATCATAGAATGTTAGAACTGGGAGATACATTAGTGTTAAAGATCTTTGAGGCAGATACCTTATTTTCCAAATGAGGAAACTATATGTCAGATGGACTAGGTGATTTGCTGGAGGTCACAGAACTGTTGACTGCAGTTCTAAGCTCCGGTCTCCCCACTTTCCACTTCTCTTTGGAAAAAGGTGCCTCTTTTTACAAACCCAAAGAGAGCACATTAAAAATGTTTAATGATCAATTAGTCTGATTGGGAGTTTGATTTAAATGCAGACTAACATAGGTCCCCATTGAGATGAAAGACATCTAAAACTCTTATAGAAAATCCACGGTCTTTCTGGCCTAAAGAACTCTAGGACAAAGTTTGGGATAATTACAGCCAATAGAATGTGAGTGGAGGAATCCTAGGAAGGAGAGAACTTAAAAAGGGAAATTCTAAATTTTTAAAATAATATCTGCCCAAATCTCTGGTTGAACCCTGAAGCATGCATGCATAAGACAGTCAAGCAAAGGAGAAAAGAACTAAAACAAATTAGAGTTGCTGCCTAAGATACAAAGTTTTCAGGTTTAGCTCATTCATTTAATTGCCTGCTAAAACAATAAAATCAATGCTCTTTGGAAAAATACAATGGAATTCAGAGACTCTGTAACACAATGTTCACTATGTCCAGTATACAATCTGAAATTAGTAGACATATTATAAAATGTGTGATATGGTTTGAATGTTTTGTTCCTTCAAAATCTCATGCTGAAATGTTACCTCCAATGTTGGAGGTGGGCCTAGTGGTAGGTATTGGGGGCATGGGGGCAGATCCCTTATGAGTGTCTTAGTGCTGTCCTTGTGGTAACGAGTGAGTTCTCATTTGATAAGTTCATGTGAAATCTGGTTGTTTAAAAGAGCCTTGCACCTCCTCCTTCTCTCTCTTGCTCTCTCTCACTCCATGTTACATGTCTGCTCTCCCGTCACCTTCCATCATGATCGTAAGTTTCCTGAGGCCTCACCAGAAGCCAAGCAGATGTGGATGCAATGCGTTTATAGCCTGCAGACCCTGAGCCAAATAAACTTTTTACTTATAAATTACTCAGTCTTAGGTATTCTTTTATAGCAATGCAAAACGGACTAACTCAATGAGAAAATGTGACCCATTGCCAAGAGAAAAGATAATCCATAGAAATTGACTCCAAGATGTGCCAGATGTTAGCATTAGTAGATAGTGATTTAAAGAATAGCTATTATAGCTGGGTTCCGTGAGGTTTTTTTTGGTTTTGTTTTTTGTTTTTTATTTTTTGCCAGAGTTTCGCTCTTGTTGCCCCAGCTGGAGTGCAATGGTGAGATCTTGGCTCACTGCAACCTCCGCCTCCCAGGTTCAAGTGATTCTCCTACCTCAGCCTCCTGAGTAGCTGGGATTACAGGGGCATGCCACCACACTTGGCTAATTTTTATATTATTAGAGACTGGGTTTCACCATGTTGGCCAGGCTGGTCTTGAACTCCTGACCTCAGGCGATCCACACACCTCGGCCTCCCAAAGTGCTGGGATTACAGGCATGAGCCACCATGCCTGGCCTGGGTTCAATGATGTAAAGGACAATGTAACTTAAGGCAAACTTGGTCTTCATAGGTATGTTAGGAAATAATCACTATCTTCTCCTACTATACTATCAGACACTGCATAATAGCCCCCACTTTCCCAAAAAATATATTGACTCATTTAGGGTATCATTTAATTTTCTCACTAGAAAGAATTTATCATATCAATACTTCAGTCTTCTGGTCACCTTGGGGGGTCCATGGGTAGGTGTGTGATCCAAGCCAAGCCAACCTAAGTCTCTCCCATGATTTTCCATATACCACTTTGGGACAGAGATTCTGAGATGAGAGGCATGAAAGTTACTGGCAGGTATTTTCCACACACTGGGGAGAAAGTTCCTCCAGAAAGGACACAGCAGAAGAAGCTTCCCCCAGACAAAAGAAGAGATATTTTTGTTTAATTTAATTCAAATTGAAATTCTAATACTACAAAGCTAGATGTTTGTAAAATACAGACCCAAAGAGCAAGCAACAGAAGGGCAAGAAGAAGATGTCACAATGCCAAATTCACTGGTGCCAGAGCACTTTCAGGGCAAAGGGTATTTAAGAGAGATGCCAGAAAACAACTGAGAAGACCTGCTTACCAACCATATATAACCTATTCTTTCTACTTTCACTTCACTTGACATAAAACATTGAGGGAGGCAGGCAAAGAGCAGCAGCAGGAAATCAGAAGTCTTTGCAGAGGATGCCAAGGAGACCATTTACTCATTCATTATTCAAAATTTACCATGGTCAAAAGAATTCATGGTTTGCTAAGGATATAGCTGTGAGCAAAATATACAGTGTCTATCTTGTGGAGTTTCAGTCTAGTGTCGTGCTAGTTTTAAGAAAGAACATTATTGCTACAGCACATCTTGAGGCCAACAAAGTTGTCAGCTTAATGTGCCAAAAATCACAAGCTTTGTGATTGGCATGTGATCATTGCATGTGATCAATGCAACCAGAGTTTATGCTAGGTTTATTGTAGACTGTCACAAAGAGAGAGGAAGATTTCTAGGAAGATAAGTCATCCAAAAGTTGTATAAACATGTTGAATCTTGTAACCCTTCTTGATAAGGGGGAAGAGATATGCCTCAAGGAACAGGAGCACAAAGGAGAGAGATAGGGAGGCTGCCGATGGTGCCAGGAGGCATCTTTATCGGCAGGAATTTAACTAAGAAAGAAGCCATTTACACTCCCCTCTTGTCCAGGATGGGGAAGAAGGGGTGGTCTACAGATGAGTACACTGTGTCCTTAGTGTCAGTCAAAGAAATGGACACACGGCTGAGCTCAAAGTCACAAGGAGACCATAACTACAAAGTAGAATTCTTTAACAGTTTGAAGGCTCTCTCCTTTTCTACATAATCATTAGAAACAATGCGTCTCCCAGCCAAACTGAGCAGTTCTGTGCCCTCATTGTGCAAAGAAATGAAATCTCACAGCCATCTCAGGGTGTCAGCTGTCATCCAGGCCATCACATTCTGCCTGGCAGGTGGGAAATGAGATGAGGAATGACACAGTAAGCTTTCTCCAATGAGCACTGGCTCTCGGGCTCATCAGTCAGTCCTGGCGTACTGCAAAGTGGTCCCAGAGGGCCTTTCGGCACCAAGTGTATTTTCTGAAGGCAAAATTCTGTACAAATTGTTGAGAAACTATCTTGTTTATTTATCTGTCAGATGCCCCAGGATCCTCTGATTGTCCATGTTGCTAGCAAGCCCCGACTCCTGTCAAGGCCGTCTACCTAGACATAACCTTAGCAGTTGTGAGTCTACAGAATCTAAAGTAAATAGTAAATTAATCCTAACCATATACATATACAATGGGGGAGATGAAGGATTATGTTAAAATGAAAGCAGGGTATAGAAGAACTCATTAAATTGTGGAGTCATTGCTAAGAGCTGTAGTACCAGACTCAAAAAAAGAACTATAGGTATATGCTCCAGATATGTGTGAGTACATACATATAGGTAGAAAACAGATTTCCAGATACAGCTGCCAGGCTGCCTGAGCCGATCCTACCACTTCAGTCAACAGGGGCTGTTTTGGGGAGATGGGACATTTTGCTGGGATGAAGAGTAGTTGGAAGATACTATTTAGTGAATGCACAAGAAATATTTGCTGAATGAGTTATGTTCCCAAGAACAGTCAAACACAGGAGTCTTGTGTCTCAGCCACTGGCTTAAAGAGACTGAACAGCAGTAAAAGGCTGCTAGACAGTAAAATTTTGTCTACGTGTCAGAAAAGGTAACCCTAAGAAAGTGACCTGGAGGATGAAAAGATTGTATCCCAAGAGGGAGGATTAATCTTCAAGGCTAAAGAAATGCTATATGTGCATGTGACTTAAGCGTGGTACATGTGGGTAGATCAGGGCAAGTGGGAGTCATGAAATGAGTTTGAGGCACAAGTCAGCTGGCCAAGACTAAAGATAAGGGGCTCAGAAGTACATGCCCCACTGAAGCAGGGATTGCAAAGTTTTCTGGCAAAGGGAAGAAGAACGGGGTCCAACACATTTACCATTGAAATCCACTACCATATTATTTCAAAAATTTTGAAAAATAAAAATAGGACATTTTTATACTGATTTTAAAACAACTAAATATGGTAATGCCTAGGTTTTCTTCTAGGGTTTTTATGGTTTTAGGTCTAACATTTAAATCTTTAATCCATCTTGAATTAATTTTTGTGTAAGGTGTAAGGAAGGGATCCAGTTTCAGTTTTCTACATACGGCTAGCCAGTGTTCCCAGCACCATTTATTAAATAGGGAATCATTTCCCCATTGCTTGTTTTTCTCAGGTTTGTCAAAGATCAGATAGTTGTAGATATGCGGCGTTACTTCTGAGGGCTCTGTTCTGTTCCATTGATCTATATCTCTGTTTTGGTACCAGTACCATGCTATTTTGGTTACTGTAGCCTTGTAGTATAGTTTGAAGTCAGGTAGCATGATGCCTTCAGCTTTGTTCTTTTGGCTTAGGATTGACTTGGCGATGCGGGCTCTTTTTTGGTCCCATATAGGCATGGGCAAGGACTTCATGTCTAAAACACCAAAAGCAATGGCAACAAAAGCCAAAATTGACAAATGGGATCTAATTAAACTAAAGAGCTTCTGCACAGCAAAAGAAACTACCATCAGAGTGAACAGGCAACCTACAACATGGGAGAAAATTTTCGCAACCTACTCATCTGACAAAGGGCTAATATCCAGAATCTACGATGAACTCAAACAAATTTACAAGAAAAAAACAAACAACCCCATCAAAAAGTGGGCAAAGGACATGAACAGACACTTCTCAAAAGAAGACATTTATGCAGCCAAAAAACACATGAAAAAATGCTCACCATCACTGGCCATCAGAGAAATACAAATCAAAACCACAATGAGATACCATCTCACACCAGTTAGAATGGCGATCATTAAAAAGTCAGGAAACAACAGGTGCTGGAGAGGATGTGGAGAAATAGGAACACTTTTACACTGTTGGTGGGACTGTAAACTAGTTCAACCATTGTGGAAGTCAGTGTAGCGATTCCTCAGGGATCTAGAACTAGAAATACCATTTGACCCAGCCATCCCATTACTGGGTATATATCCAAAGGACTATAAATCATGCTGCTATAAAGACACATGCACATGTATGTTTATTGTGGCACTGTTCACAGTAGCAAAGACTTGGAACCAACCCAAATGTCTAACAATGATAGACTGTATTAAGAAAATGTGGCACATATACACCATGGAATACTATGCAGCCATAAAAAAGGATGAGTTCATGTCCTTTGTAGGGACATGGATGAAATTGGAAATCATCATTCTCAGTAAACTATCGCAAGAACAAAAAACCAAACACCGCATATTCTCACTCATAGGTGGGAAATGAACAATGAGAACACATGGACACAGGAAGGGGAACATCACACTCTGGGGACTGTTGTGGGGTGGGAGGAGAGGGGAGGGATAGCTTTAGGAGATATACCTAATGCTAAATGACGAGTTAACGGGTGCAGCACACCAGCATGGCACATGTATACATATGTAACTAATGTACACATTGTGTACATGTACCCTAAAACTTAAAGTATAATAATAATAATAATAATAAAAGAAAACTAAATATTTAATAAAAAGAAAATAAAGGTGATGTCATCTTTTTTTTTTTCCTCTGGAATACTAAGTATCAGAATAAATGGGAACAATGTAGTAGACTGAATAATGTACCTGCTCCCCAACAACCAAAGATGGCCACATTGTAAGCCCCAGAATCTGTGATTACCCAAGCTTACAAGGTAAAGGGCACCTCAGAGGTGTGATGAACGGAGGATTTTGAGGAGAGCAGATTACCCTAGATTATCCAGCTCGACCCAATGTAATCATAAAGGTCCTTAAAAGAGGGAACAATATCAGGGTCAGAGAAACGATGAAAGAATCAGAGAGAAGAGAAGATGCTATTGCACTGGCTTTGAAGTTGGGGGAAGGAGGCATGAGCCAAGGAATGTAGAAGTTCCCTATAAACTGGAAAAGGAAATGAATTCTCCACTAGGGACTCTCGGAGGAACCAAATATGGTAACACATTTATTTTAGCCCAGTGACATTGATTTCAGACTGCTGATATCCTGAACTGTAGGAAAATAAATCTGTGTTGTTTTGAGCCACTAAGTGTGCGGTAACTTGTTACAGCAGCAGTAGGATACTAATGTGCATGATCTAAAGAAATTCGAAGGGGAAAAAGTTGTGGCTTAAGCCTGTTTTATCCAGTAAATTGTTTAAATATATATTTTAAAGGAAATGTCATCAGAAAGCCAAGGATTTAGTAAATATAAATATATATGTCAATTTTATTGACTAAATCTCTGTTTAGGTGGTTGCTATGAATAACATCACTTCATTTTTTATAATACTACCTTCTGGGCCAGGCACAGTGGCTCAGACCTGTAGTCTCAGCAGGCCTATATGGGCAGATAACCTGAGGTTAGGAGTTTGAGACCAGTCTGGCCAACATGGTAAAACCCTGTCTGTACTAAAAATACTAAAATTACCCGGGTGTGGTCGTGTGTGCCCGTAATCCCAGCTACTTGGGAGGCTGAGACACGAGAATCACCTGAACCCCGGAGGTGGAAGTTGCAGTGAGCCAAGATCGTGCCACTCCACTCCAGACTGGGAAACAGAGTGAGACTCTGTCTCAAAAATAATAATAATACTTTCTTACTACTGACATTTTTATTTTGATAAAATTTTGGATTGACTTTAATAGGTCTTCAAATACTGTTTCAAAGAAAAATAAGTGGATATTATTTCTGAGGCTTTATATGTCTAAGACATTTCTATTTCTATTGCTGTAGCACATGAACATTAGATTGGCTTCTTTTACATGTTTAGGCCAAAATCTTTTGCCCTCAAGTATAGCTTTAAATGTTTTCATGTTAAACAATAAAGAATAAAATTTAATGAACTATTAAACTTGAGATTTTTAGAAAAGATACACAAAATCTAAAAATTAAATAATTCAGAATAGGATTAGAGTTATGGCTATGGTAATATGGTAAGGCAAAAAGTGAAACCAATCAAATGGACAGACTTCTGGCATATCTAATTTTTAAATGTGTGAAACATAAATAAGGGAGATATAGATACCTACAGAGAGAACACTAACAGTAAAGAAATATTTTTAAAGTCACTGTGTAAAAACTTTGCACTTAAAAAAAATAGACAATGTCTAGATAGAACTGTCATTCTCAAACTTTTTCTCTCAGGACTCCTTTTAACACTTAAAATTTATTTCAAAAGCCCAAAGTGCTTTTGTGTATGTGAGATATCTCTATCAATATTTACCATATTAAAAATTAAAACTAGGAAATATTTAAAACACAAGAATACACGAACACACTTTTCACTGGCTGAGTAGTAACATCATTATGCATTATTTATTTTCTGGAAAATACCATGTACTCAGAAGAAAATGAGAATGAAAAGGCAAATATCATCTTAATTTTACAATGAAAATAATTTTGACCTTGTAGTTTCCTAAAAATGTATTGGACTATACTTTGAAAATAGCTAGTCTAGTATACACTACCAAATTACAATTATGTAATAAAAATTACCAAAATTAAGAGGAAGGGTTTTTTTTAAAAAAAAGAATAAACTAGTAACCAACGAAGGACTTGAAAATATCATCAAGGATTTATCTACAAATAAGACTACTGAGTAAAACTATGAATTAATTTAAATATTCAATAAACAGAAAAATGTGCTAATAAAAGTTTAACATACAATCCTTTGAGCACACACAAAAGAAACGTAAAAACCAGTTTTATTAATGAAATAAGTACAAAAATCTTAGATAAAATACTTGTAAGCTCAAAAAGATTGTTAGTAGTGGGATCAAGGCTTGGTCTCTGTAGGTTTCTCCAACCTCAGGTCCTAGGCTGTTTCTAGCATGACACTGAGCCTTCCAGAAGCAGTGTTACACAGTGACCCCTTCTGCTTTTTCATAAGCCTGAGATGCTACAGAATGTTTTGCTTCATTATTTTCCTTCCAATTTTTGTCATTTAAAGAGTGTTTAAATTTCTATTCTCTGTTAACAGTTGGTCCTATCTTTGAAGTAAAAGCAGATAACAAAACTTTATTGATAAAATATCTGAACATTATGAAAATACACTAATATCCTATTTGCATAAGTTTGTGTACTTTTCTTTAAAATTGCATAAGAACTTCAGTATATCAAATTACTTACCTATGCAAACAAGATTTGTTTTCACCAGAAATGCAATATTGATTTCAGTATTCATTTGATGAATATTATTAATATATAGAATATTGCATTAAGAGATTATGTGTTAAGAATATGATGATTTTGATAAATGCCAGAAAGACATTTGACAATATTAAATATATTATTATTATTATTTGTAGAGATAAAGTCTCACTATGTTGTTCAGGCTGGTCTGGAACTGCTGAGCTCAAGTGATCCTCCCGCCTTGGCCTTTCAAAGTGCTAGAATTACAGGCATGAGACACCATGCCCAGCCTATTGCTAATATTTTAAAGAAGATTAAGAATAGAAGAATCTTCTTCAACACAATAAGGGTTATGTAACTTAAGTCAATCGACGTCATAATACTGGATGTTGGAACACCTTCTTATTTCACCTTTATATCTTAGAGTTGATGTTGTATCAGTGCCTATAAAATGAATTAAATGAATTCATATTTTAGTTGCTGAACAGCAGTTGTAGCTGAAATTGTGATTACTTCCCATTATCGCTCTACTTTCCCACCTCCTTTATGTCACTGCACTAAAATTTGAGTGAGAGGGTTGTCTTTAGGTGAATATTGATCAACAGTGCTTGTTTCAAGGTATGCAAATAACCCATGTTGGTCCAGTCAAAATGAAGCCAGGTCCTTTGACAAGTCAGGGAATTGCTCCCTCCCTCCATGAGATTAAGAGGCACAGAGCATCTTGCAATCACAAGTGGAACCAGACTTGTGTTGTAACAGACACTACCAAAGGAAGAGCAGAGAAACTAGGTCTTTGGGGACAGTGACAGACAAAGAATTAAGGCCACCCTAAAGTCCGCTCTAACCTCTGAACTTTCAAGTTATCAATCTATTTTCTTATCGTGTAAGCCATTTTTAGTTTTTTTTTTTATGCAAATGCCATACTTTATTGAATTACGGGAAATAATATATGTGACCACAGAAGAGGGTACATCAGTTTGATCATGCTTTTTAAAATTATCTATTTTTAGTACAGACCTATATAAAATAAATGTTTTCATATAAGTTTATTCTGTTTGCTAACGATTTTGTTTTGGCCAGAAAAGAGAGTATGAAAGATAAAAAAGCATTTATAATAAACCCATTGGAAACCAATAATATATGTCATAATCTGAGAAACTCCTTCACTTTTTAATTATATATTTAATTACAGTGTGACTAAGCAGGTTAGTTAACCTCTTTGTACTTCAGCTCCCTTATCAGCAAAATAGAGTTGAGAGTAGTACCCTCCTCTTTTTTATTTTCAACACACAGAGCTCTAATTGATCCAGTAGTCTGTGGTATGGCCATGCCATGTTTATATGATCAACCTCTTTTAGAGGAATGGTTGTGTTGCTTACAACATTTTATTATTATAAATAAGGTGGCCATGAATATTTTTCTATACACAACTTTGATATCAAGCATCAATATATCTGGAGGTATCATTCCTGCAAGTTAAATTGCTATCAAAAAGGAGTCAATTTTAAGTTTTAGCACAAATTTTCAAATTTCCCTACATGAAGCTTGTAGCAATATTTACACACATTGACAAAGTATAAGAATGTCCATTTGACCAGCACGTTGGCTCATGCTTATATTCCTAGCACTTTGGGAGGCTGAGGTAGGCAGATTGCCTGAGCTCAGGAGTTTGAGACCAGCCTAGGCAACATGGCAAAACCCTGTCTCTACTAAAAATACAAAAAATTAGCCGAGCGTGGTGGTACACACGTGTAATCCCAGCTACTCAGAGACTGAGGCACAGGAATCTCTTGAACCCAGGAGACAGAGGTTGCAGTGAGCCGAGATCATGCCACTGCACTCCAACCTGGGTGACAGAGTCAGACTGTAAAAATAAATAAATAAATAAATAAATAAATAAATAAATAATAACAGAATGACCATTTCCCAAACACTCATTAACAGAGAGTTATCAAAGTTTTTGACCATCAAAGATTTTGTTTCCACAATCAATATTTAATGCTGGCAAAGATATAATAAGCTAGGCATCCTTAAATACTTCTGTTAAGAGTGTTTAATTACCTATAACCTTTCTGGAAATCAATCAGGCAATATGAATCAACAGACTTCAAAGTTTATTTTTTCTGATCCACTATTTCCACTTTGGGGAAGTCTATAATGAGGAAAATTTTAGAGAGGTGGATAGTGATTTATACATAAAAGAACATTTAATTATTATTCAAAAGAAAATACTAAAATTAAGAAAAACGGTAACATAAATTATAGCTTATCTATAAGATTATTATTTCATCATTAAGTACCCTGTTTTGAAAGACAATAATAGGGAAATATTCTTCTAATGTAAGGTTAAGTTACAAACAATTACTCATTTAAAATAACATGCTGATTTTGAAAGTATGCATACTCATACACACATATATATATATGCATTTCTATTTGGTAAATAAGTATATGTAAATATTATTTATTTATGTATACAGGTGTTAAAGGATTTATGCACCAAAATATTCAAAATATTATGTTTGGTTTTTCTTTCCTTGGTAAATTAACCAGGGTTTGATTCTTAATTTCTTCTTAATAATCTCCTACATTTTAAAATTTCATGTAATGAGCAAGTGTTAGTCTATAATCACAAAAATGCTATCTTCTCTTGTTATCCCTTGGCTTTAGCTTGACAAGCAGTCTGAATTCATAATTAATTGGAGGAAGGAAAGATGACTTCTGGTTCATGAAACTTTCAATATGAATCAAAAGTGAATACTTTTTATAACATTTCTGAAATGCTGATCTCTCTACTCCAGACTCTTAATTTATTAAGTTATAAGGCTATGAAAATATTCATTGCCTATTTCAAACTCCTCTGCCCAATGCCAATTTAACCTAGCAATATGAAATTCCAAGGTAGGGCACACATGTGAGGGGAAGTCAACATTTAAAATGCAATCGTGTCAATACATGGTCTGGTATTTAATTCATTCCATTGTTTTCATGCTTTCATTACTGGTCGTAATATGCACCATAGTAATGAGCAAAACAGACTATTTTTCTTGCAATGAGGCAATAGACATTCACAAACAATCTCACAAATGTACATTTTAGCAATGATAAACCTCACTGAGAGACAGAGGCAGTGTAAGTGAGGTAGTTGAAAGTATGGACTCTGAGTTAGATGCCTGGGGTTGATCCCGACTGCCATGGACTGGTGGTGTGACTCTGAGCAAGTTACTTCACCTCATTGTACCCAGTTTGCTGATAGGTAAAATGGACATTTTAAAATTATTCCTTGTATAAGATTTATATTAAGAGTATTGTGTTATTTAAAATGCTTATACTGTGTTTGCCACAGAGTAACCTGTAGTCAAATGTGTCCTAAAAAAATAGAATGCTGTACATGTATTGAGAGCATTTAATAAGGAGATGTGACTGAGGTGTCCAGAGAAGGCTTTCCTGTGTAGCTGGTGATTGAATGGCAAGAGTCACCTTTGTGGTAAATGCAAGTTGAGGGAATTGTAGAAGATTCATGTGGAACATGAAGAAAAGTGAGGACCGATCATGTAGGGCACATTTGCCCACATTAAATATTTCAGTTATTTTATTAGGTATTCTATGGAAGGGGTGACTTGATCAGGGTTCTGTTTGGAGAAAAAAAATATCACTGACTACAGAGTCAAAACTGGAGGAGTACAACTGGAAATAAGAGAATGTCCCCTAGGAAGCTACTACAATCATCTAGGTGAGAGATACGGTGGCTTGAACCAGGGGAGGGACAGTAGAGAAGAAAAAGGGACAAATTTGAACAGCACCAGGAGGATAAAAGAACCTCCCTAGGGGCTAGATGAGATATTGGGAATAAGAAAGGCGGAAATCCGAAGGTTAACTCCTGAGTTTCTGGAACTACTGAGACAGGGACAACTGAAAGCAAAGACTAGATGTGTCAGCTAGAGTATTACTTTGGGTCTAAATAATTTGAGTTCAAGTTGACTTTGAATCATCTAAGTAAAAGTGTCGAGTAGGCTGTTGGTTATATGAATCTGGAGCTCAAGAGGATTGCAGAGCTGGAATATATTATCAAATGCTGCTGAAAAACCAAGTAAGATTGACTAAAAAATAAACAATTTGGCAACATGGAGGTAACTATTGACCTTAAAAATGGATTTTTTTTTTCCATTACATAATGGGGATTGAAACTAAATTTTAAAAAACTGATTATGGGACCGGGCAGGATAAAGGAATGGCAACAAGTATAGAAAACCCTTTCAAAAAGCTACGAAGAAAAGTGCAGTCTAGTTGGGACTTGGGGTAGAGAGAGAGAATTTCTGGCTCTGGATTTAATAGAGAGCTTCAAAAATTGTTTAGAAAGATATACTTGAGAGGAAGATGTTTACTATATAAACAAAGAAAGCATAATCAACATCACAAGATTCCTGAGGAAGTAAATGAATTAGCCCTAAAAAGAGGAGAGGAAGACCTGTGTTGAGACCAAGAAAGAAGGATAGATTGGCTTCATATGTAGGTTTCTATCACATTAGCCACACCTTGCTCTCATACTGCCCGATTAGTCTCATGTCATTGATCTAGTAAATTAATGTGAAGTTCTGTGGGCTACCCAAACTATCCAGATCTCTTCATACCTTATTATGAGAGTGGAAAAATTAGTTAACATAGCCTTAGGTAGAGCAAACCTATTAGTAAATATTTTTGTCCATTCCATGTAAACATGAACTAGTTTTGATTCTTTTATTTCTTATCAAAATATAAAAAAAAATCATTCAA